>NC_000006.12:3544848-3696363 GCF_000001405.40 Homo sapiens
CTTATTTGATGTTTTTGACTATAAAATGTGCTTTGTGTGATGTTGGTATTTTTGCCATTTGTCATTGTTAGCATTTTCCTGATATATCCTTGCCCACTTCTTTATTTTCTACCTTTTTCTCTTTATCATTTTGTTTTAGGTATGTACCTTAAAATACCATTTAGCTAATTTTTGCTTTTTTATGTTGTTTATTCTTTTATTTTCAAATATAAGACATAGCAAGGGCAATAATTTGTTCCATGTACATTATTACTTATTGTGATTAACGTCATATCCAATCTTTCTCCTGCCTTCTTATTTTATGTTTTCTATTCACTATGATTTCTTATTGCTTCCTCTTTTCACCTTTCCTGCCTCTTCCTTCTTTGATCATTTTTTGTCCTTTTTTCTTCCCCTAGCAATATGAAATATTACATCTAAGTGTTATTCTAACAGTGGTCACCTTTATAACAAATGTATTTTATTCTACATGATTCTATCAAAGTTAAGTAAACATTATTCATAACCACCAGCCCTCATGTAAGCCAAGAATTGTAACATGCACTTACTTCCCTTTTCTTCTCCTTATCACTTGGGTTATCCTAAATGATCTAGAATTTAATTCATATTTCTCCCTCTAGTATCCATTCCTTAAAAAATAGCCTTGGGGGCTGGGCATGGTGGCTCACGCCTGTAGGCCTAGCTACTTGGGAGGCTGAGGCAGGAGGATTGCTTGGGGTCAGTAGTTAGAGACCAGGCTGGAAACATAGTGAGACCCCATCTCTACTAAAAAAATTGTTAAAAATGAGGCTGGCATTGTGGTGCATGCCAGTCATTACAGCCACTCCAGAGGCTGAGGTCACCTGAGCCCAGGGGTTCAGGGCTGCAGTGAGCTATGATCCTGCCACTGTATTCCAGCCTACACAACAGAGTGAGATCCTGTTTCAAAAAAAAAAGAAAAGTTTAAAACGCATTAATTTTCAATATTGCATGCAATGAGAATTTGGAAGTTGCAAGCAGTTTCAATATCTTAGGGTGGTGTATAAGTCAGGATTCTCCAGGGAAATGAAACCAATAGTATATAATGTGTGTGTGTATGTATGTGTGTATATTTATAATATATATATACATATTTATTATTAGTATATATAATATAAATACATATAATTGTATATTATATATATGTGATTTATTATAAAATATTGACTCAACCAATTATGGAGGCTGAGGAGTCCCATGATCTGCAGTCTGCATGCTGGGGACCCAGGAAAGCTGGTGGTTTAGCTGGAAGGGCTGAGACCTGGAGAGTCGATGGTGCAGATTCCAGTCTGGGTCTGAAAGCCTGAGAACTAGGAGCACCAGGGCAGGAAAACATCAATGTGCCAGCTCAAGCAGCCAGGCAGAGAGAAAATGCTTTCTTCCTCTGCTGTTTGTTCTACTGAGGCTCTCAATGCCTCAGATGAGACCCACCCATCTTGGGGAGGGGAGGGCCCTCTGCTTTATACAGTCCACCAGTTCAAGGCTAATCTCTTCTGGAAACACCCTCACAGACACACCCAGAATAATGTTTAACCACACATCCGGGCACCCTGTGGCCCAGACAAATTGACACCTAAAATTAACCATCACAGGTGGAGAAAAAAAATCATTTTTGGTCAAATACTACTCTTTATCCTGGGATAAAGAGCCCCTTTAAAAGTCAGGTAAGAAAAGTATCTGCTCATTAGGGGAATTTGACCGGCCCCAAATTTTATTTTCAACAGTGTTCTTTTTAGTGTTCAGTTCCTTGATTTAATGTTGTACTTCTTCGATGATCGTTCTCTCCTCTACAACTATTTTCTGTATACCTAGTTGGTTCTAGGAGTTTTTGTTGTGGTTTTATTCTTTTAGGTGTCACTGTGAATACCAGTCAGAATTTATAAAAGATATCTTCTGTTTCCTACAGTAAATCTTTTTAATTGAAAGTCCTTCAGACCAATTGCCTGGTTTAATTTCCTTTCTGTTTGCTCATTCTCCTCAAGAGTCCAATAAGTTACCTTTGCTTGATTATATTCATAAATTACAGTCTAGCCTGGTAGGACTCCATCAGCATCTTGTATAGGTTTGTATGTCATTCCTTCTCTAGCACATCCTGATCGAAAACACTCAAGCCCCCATCCCAGCGAGGATACTAAGTGGGAGAATGTTCCAGAATCAAGGAGGGCAACCAGCTACCTACTTGAGAGGCTTTGGGATGTTCCAATGGCTCCCTACACACCTACCAAAAGCTGATTCACTTAACACATTGCATCATTGTGTGTCAGTGAATAAGGTTGTTATATAGTTAAATTTAAACTGTGTTCCCTCTGGCTGATAGTTTTTCAAATTGGTAAAAATGACAGAAGGTTTCCTTCCTTTCAGTTTAGTTGTCATTCTTATGATTCCTTTTTATAGGTTTCTGAGAGGGTGTTTAAAAATTACAGGCATATTCTCATTATTCTTAGAAGTCTTCCAACATCTTTTAACAGAGTAGATGTGTCTTTATGTACATTAATGTACATGATTTAATGATTCAAGTTATTAACTTAAAACCTGAAGTGCACCTAGGTATAGAAAGGAAGTGTCACATACTATGAAGAATCCCTGGGCTGGGATTTAGATCTAGAGTCCAGTCCTGGCTTGACACAAGCTGTGTGACTCTCACAAATCATAGTCAGGCCTCTGAGCCCAAGCTAAGCCATCATATCCCCAGTTACCTGCACATATACACCCAGATGGCCCGAAGCAACTGAAGATCCACAGAAGTGAAAATAGCCTTAACGGATGACATTCCACCATTGTGATTGGCTTCTGCCCCACCCTAAGTGACCAATGTACTTTGTAATCTCCCCCACTCTTAAGAAGTTTCTTGGTAATTCTCCCCACTCTTGAGAATGTACTTTGTGAGATCCACCCCCTGCCCCCAAAACATTGCTCCTGACTCCACCGCCTATCCCCAAAACCTGTAAGAACCAATGATAATCCCACCACCCTTTGCTGACTCTCTTTTCGGACTCAGCCCACCTGCACCCAGGTGAAATAAACAGCCTTGTTGCTCACACAAAGCCTGTTTGGTGGTCTCTTCATACGGACACGTGAGACAGTATCACCTCCCTGGGCCTCAGTTTCAATGTTCTCATCTGTCAAATGAAGGCTGATTATTCAGACATGTTGCATCCTATTCAGTTCTTCATTTGCAGGGATTAATAGCCAGATATGGAACTATATACAAGAACATAAAAAATAAAATACTGGAAGAAGAAGGAGGAGAAGGAGGAGGAAGAGGAGGAGAGGAGGAGGAAGAAGAGGAGAGGAGGAGAAAGAGAAGAAGGACAAGAGAAGAGGAAAGCCTTTAGTATGTTCTAAGTCAATTGGGAGAAACCACATTAACTAACCGCCGGGCGCGGTGGCTCAAGCCTGTAATCCCAGCACTTTGGGAGGCCAAGGTGGGCGGATCGCGAGGTCAGGAGATCAAGACTATCCTGGCTAACACGGTGAATCCCCGTTTCTACTGAAAATACAAAAAAATTAGCCGGGCGCGGTGGCGGGCGCCTGTAGTCCCAGCTACTCAGGAGGCTGAGGCAGGAGAATGGCGTGAACCCGGGAGGCGGAGCTCGCAGTGGGCCGAGATCATGCCACTGCACTCCAGCCTGGGCCACAGAGCGAGACTCCGACTCAAAAAAAAAAAATTAAATATTGTTATATTACAACAAAGTACATTATTTAATAAGAGAAGAGAGGAGTGAGATCTTTACACTTCCTGGAGGCTTGAGCATGATTAGGAATTCTTTTATCGAGGTGACTCAATACACAGGTTGAAATGTTGGCCAGGAGTTTGTCACAAGGACCAGTGAGCAGTCAGGGGAACGATCAGCATGTGCTGAAGGGTGTACGCTCTGTGAGGAGGTTGGGAGGAGGCGTGGGTTTGGCCACAGATGGAGAGATCTTGGGGCCCTACTAAAGATAAGGCATCTGCGGGGCATTACAGGAGACGATCTGGAGCTCAGGCAAGGGGCGGTAGAGCAAATTTGGGGGACAGTGTAGCAGAGCTGATGGCATGAGCCTCAAAGGGGGTGAGTGATGGTTTGCAGAAGAGTGATAGAAGAGTGCTCACTCACCTGAGGATGTGTAGAGACCGGGAAAAAGGGCAGTGACTGCTTAGACGGGCTAGAACCCATGCCCCAGTGCAGAGCAAGGTGTTAGTAATGGAAGGAGCATTTGATGAGGGCTTAAACAATTTTTGTTTCCAGTAGACAAAGATCCAGAGGGTACTAAAGAGAAAGTGGGGAAAGTGGCAAATAATGGCATTCCAAGTGGGAGAAAGTTGGGACAGCTGCATGGAGATGGCAATGCCAGGGAGGACGGGTGGCCAGCAGAGTTGGAGGATGGTGGGGATGATAAACAAGGTGGGCTCAGATGGCCTCAGGTCTCCTTGTCAAAACAGAGTAGGCTACTGGAAACCTCGTGACGACAGGAAAAAACAAGTAATTCGCAAGAATTCCTGCCTAACAATTTTCATAAGTATGCTGTTTAAATGTAAACGCACAACAGCCAGTTTAATTAAGTTAATAGTTGGTCTGAGAAGAGCCATTCTGAATTAATAGTAGCCTGTTCCTCAGTGGCTTCGCTGGCCTGATTGGTCACATTGTGCCCTCCCCGGTCAAGTCCTGGGTACTGCTGCACACTCCTTACTGAGCTTCCCTTTGTTGCTGGTAATTGCATGTACAAAGGTCTTTCAGGCAATGATCCTTTAATTAGAAATTGCGCACTGAAAATAATGGTGCAGACTTCTATAACTAACAGGTGGCCTTCAGAAGCTAATTTTTATTGAAGTGTATTTTTAATTAGTGCAAACAGGAACATTTCCAAGCAGTGCCAACTCAGCAGTTCCATTGTGTGTCACAGGAGGTTGAACAGTCAAGGTGGAGTCATGCATAGACAGGGAGGGCACTAATGTGAAGGAACAGGCTTGTTTAGGGAGCACCCCTGGCAACACCGGAGGAAAGATGATGTCACTCTTGCAGAATAGGGTGGTTTATCCTTTCTTGACATGTGCAGCCAATCATTAATTGGGATATACTGTGGATACTGTTAAAAGAATAAACTATGCTATTAGATACACAGTCCTGTATGAATTATCTGACACTATTACAAGGTATATACATCTTACTTTTTCCGGCTCTGATTTCTACACTCTATACTTTGCTGCTATGCTTACTTAGCATTGGTTTCCTCAGATCCCATAGATGCACTGGGAACTAATGATGACCACCAGAAACAGCTGCCAAATCTGTGCAAATTCCCCCCTATTGGCAACTCCAAGGACACTTGTTCACCTTCCGCCTCTAGGCTTTCTTCTTCTTCTTCCTCTTCTTCCTCTTCTTCTTCTTCTTCTTCTTCTTCTTCTTCTTCTTCTTCTTCTTCTTCTTCTTCTTCTTCTTCTTCTTCTTCTTCTCCTTCTCCTTCTTCCTCTTCCTCTTCTTCTTCTTCTTTTTCTTCTTCCTCTTCTTCATCTTCCTCTTCTTCTTCTTCCTCTTCCTCTTCCTCTCCTTCTCCTTCTTCTTCTTCTTTTTTTTTTTTAAGTGAGAGGGTCTCATTCTGTCACCCAGACTGAAATGCAATGGCCCAATCTGTACAATCGTACAGAAGTTATATGATCTGCTCATTGCAACTTTGAACTCCTGGGCTCAAGCAATCCTCCTGCCTCAGCTTCCCAAATAGCTAGGACTACAGGTGCACATCACCAAGACTGGCTAATTAAAAAACAAACAAACAAAACTTTTGTAGAGATGGGATCTCACTATGTTGCCCAGGCTGGTCTCAGACACCCAGCCTTAAGTGATCCTCTTGCCTCAGCCTCCCAAAGCTCTGAGTCCCCTCTGGATTCTGAAAGGACTGTAGGCAAGAGGAGTCCTGGATTTATTACCAAGGCATCACCAGAGTAGGTATATTCCTGGCATCCCAGATTGGAATGATAGTAGCTTTTCAAAATGAGGTTAAAGAAGAGTGATTTTGTTTTCTTGTATAATCAGTAATATAGTTCAGCTAGTTAGTGGGCTAAACAGATTTTTTTCTCCAAAGGGGTTACCCTATTTATGTAGTGACTGCTTATTATGGTGCTGCAATTTTCAAGTACCTGACTTTTAATTGAAACTGCTTGGGCCTGGAGTTTTTTTGTTTTTATTGCTGGAAAAGTTTTAACTATGAATTCAATTTCTTGAATAGATGCAGTATTTTTCAGGTTATTTCTTCTTGAGTGAACTTTGGTAGTTTGTACCTTCAAGGAATTTGTTCATTTCATTTAAGTTGTCAAATATATGACATTTGTTTAAGTAGTATCTTATTATATATTTAATATCTGTAGGATCTGTAATATCTTCACTTTTATTCCTGATGTTGCTAATTTGTGTCTTCTCTCTTTATTAGTCTGGTTTATGAATTTTGTTGATCTTTTCAAAGAACCAGCTTGTGGTTTTATTGATTTTTCTCTATTGGTTTGCTGTTTTACATTTCATTGATGTCTGTCCTTACCTTTTATGTCCTTGCTTCTGCGTGCTTTGGGTGTTATGGTTTTTTAAGGTGAAAGCTTCGATTATTGATTTTAGACCATTCTATTTTTTTCCTCTATTACATGCATTTACAGTTACAAATTTACCTCTAAGCACTGCTTTAGCTGTTTCCCACAAATTTTGATATGTTGTATTTTCATTTTCATTCAGTTTAATTATTTTTTATTGCCCAAGACTTTCTTTTTGATCTATGATAATTTACAAGTGTGTCTTTTTAAATGACACTTTTAATTTTAAGATAATTGTAGATTCACATGCAGTTATAAGAAATAATCCTAGAAATCTCATGTGCCCTTCACACAGCTTCTCCAAGTGGTTTCCTCTTGCATAGCTATAGTACAATATCACAATCAGGAAATTGGTATCAATACAATCCACCAATCTCATTTAGATTTTGGTAGTTTTACATGCACCAATTTGTGTGAATGTATTTAGTTCTATGCAATTTTTTCCATGTATAAATTCACGTAATCACAACCATAGTCAAAATACAGAAATGTTGCATCACCGCAAAGATCCCTTGTGCTATCTTCTACCTTTTTATAATCACACCTACATAACTCTCCCTCCCTCTGATACCTGGCAACCACTAATCTATTCCTAATCTCTGTAATTTATCATTTTAAGAAGGTTACATAAATAGAATCATATAGTGTGTGACCTTTCGGGATTGGCTTTTTGTCACTCAGCATAATTCCCTTGAGATCCATCCAAGGGGTTGCATGTTATCTGCAATTCATTATTTTTAAATTCTATGCAGTATTCCACGGTATGGAGGTACATTAGGTTAGTTAACCATTCACCCATTGAAACATAATTGTGTTTTTTCCCTCATTTTTGGTTATTGCACATAAAGCACCTAAACATTTGTGCGTAGGTTTTGGTATGAACACAAATTTTCAGTTCTCTAAAATAAATGGTCAAGAGTGCAATTTGAGGGTTGTCTATGGTAAGCACACATTCTGTTTTATAAGACACTGCCAAGCTGCTTTTCAGAACAGCTGTATCATTTTACATTATTACCAGCAATGTATGAGTGGTCCAGTTTCTCTGCATTCTCACCAGAATTTAGTGTTATCACTATTTTTTCTAATTTTAGCTATTCTGATAAGTGTTGTGATATTTCATGATAGTTTTTTTATTTTTTTGAAGGTTAATAATGTTGAACATCTTCTCATGTGATTACTTGTCATTTATGCATCCTCTTTGGTTAAATGTCCATTCATGACATTTGTCCATTTTCTAATTTTCTTGTTGAATTGTTTTTGCTTTTGAGTTTTGATGGTTATTTACATATAGATACTTATATAAATAACAGTTCTTTGTTGGACATATGGTTTGCAAGTACCTTCTCCCAGCATGTGGCTTGTCTTTTTATCTTTCAAGAAGGTCTCTTGCACAGTGAAAGTTTTAAATTTTGATGATGCCTAGAGTATTAATTTTTACTTTCATGCATTGTGCTTTTTATTCCAAATCCAAGAACTTTATGTAGCCTTAGCTTCTGAAGATTTTCTTCTATTTTTTCCAAAAGTTTTGTACTTTTACATTTTATATTTAAGTCTGTGATCCATTCTCTGTTAACTTTTCATAAGCTGAGGGGTTTAGAGCAAGATTCTCTCTTTGTCCCCTTTTTATTGCCTGTGGGTGTCTGATTGCCCTAGTACCACTTGTGGAAAGCCTATCCTTCCTTCACTGAGTTGCACTTTTGTAAAAAATCAGTTGGTCACATTTGTGTGGGTCTATTTCCAGATCTCTATTCTGTTGCATTAATCTATGGGTCTGTCCCTGCACCAATACTACAATACCTCAAGTACTGTAACTACAAATAACAACAATAACAATACTAATAATAAGCCTTAATATTGGGTAAAATGACCTTTTCCACTTTCTTCTTTTTTAAACTTATTTATTTTTTCAGGGGCTTGAACATTTCTATATAAAATCAAGACTAACTTGCTACATCTACAAAAGCCCTTGCTGAGATCTGAATAGAAATTGCATTAAACCTATAGATCAGTTGGGGGGAATTGTCATCTTTACTATATTGTCTTTCAATCCATGAACATGGTATGTCTTCTGTTTATTTAGGTTTTCTTTGATTTCTTTTATTAGCAACTCATAACAATCATGTACACATTTTGTTAGATTTGTACCTAATTATTTTTAAGAGTAATTATAAACAATATGTGTTTTTAATTTCAGTTTCCACCTGTTCATTGTTAGTATACAGAAACATTATTTTTCTGTGTTGATCTTGTATCCTGTGACCTTGAAAAACTCAGTTATTAGTTTTAGGATAGTTTGAAAATCCCTTGGAATTTTCAACACAAATCATTATGTTATCTTCAAATAGGAAAAGTCAGAAGTGTGTTTTTAAATTTCCAAATATTTGAGGATTTCCCAAACATCTGTTATTGATTTCTGGTTTAATTCCCTTATGGCCAGAAAGGAGATTTTTAATGCTTTCTGCATACATTAAAGCAGACTTCAATAAATTTAAAATCATTAAATTTTACCTTACATCTCAGGATATGATTTATTTTGAGATCCAGGTACCTTTGTAATAAATGTGTATTCTGCTGCTTTGGGATAAAGTGTTCTATAAATGTTAATTAAATAAAGTTGGCTGATAGTGTTGTTCAGATCTTCTATATCCTTGCTGATTTCTGTCTGTTTGTTGTATCAATTCCTCAGAGACAAGTTTTGGAGCATACAAATGTATTTGTGAATTTGTTAATTTCTTATTTTAGTTCTATTTGGTTTTGCTTCATGTATTTTGAAGTCCCACTTTTTATGTGCACATGCATCAAAGATTGTCTTTTCTTCTTGGTGATTGATCTTATTATCATTATGTTATGTCACTCTTTATCTCTGGAAATTTTCCTTCTCCTGAAGCCTAATTTGTTTGCTATTAATGTAGACACTCCACTGTCTTTTGATTAGTGTTTCCATGTTATATCTTTTTCCATCCTTTTAACCTATCTGTATCATTATATTTAATGTGCGTTTCTCAAACACAGCGTGTAGCTGGGTCACAGTTATTCATTGAATCTTTTAACGTCTATCTTTTAATCAATGTATTTGGATGATTTATATTTAATACAATTATTGATATGTTTGAATTTAAATATATTGTTTTCTTATTTGTTTTTTAGTTTGTCTTCATGTTTTTTTTGGTCGTTGTTCTGTTCCCTTTATCCTGACTACTTTCAGGTTATTTGAACATTTTTCAGTATTTCATTTTAATTATTTCTTGGATTTTGCCTATATCTCTGTATTTTTTATTATTTTTTAATTTTTTGTAGAGATGGGGTCTCACTATGTTTCCTAGGCTGGTCTCGAATTCCTGGCCTTAAGTGATCCTCCCACTTTGCCCTCTCAAAATTTAATGATTACAGGCCGGGCATGTGGCTCATGCCTGTAATCCTAGCACTTTGGGAGGCCAAGGCAGGTGGATCACGAGGTCAGGAGACCGAGACCATCCTGGCTAACATGGTGAAACCCCATCTCTACTAAAAATACAAAAAAAATGAGCCAGGCATGGTGGCAGGCGCCTGTAGTCCCAGCTACTCGGGAGGCTGAGGCAGGAGAATGGCGTGAATCCGGGAGGCGGAGTTTGCAATGAGCCAAGATCACGCCACTGCACTCCAGCCTGGGTGACAGTGCAAGACTGTCTCAAAAAAAAAAAAAAAAAAATTAAGGATTACAGGTATTAGCCATTGCATCTAGTCCATTCTATTTCTTAATGGTTACTCTGGTATTAAAATATATGTGCTACATTTTTACAGTAAAGTAAAATATTTTATTACTTTAAGTATCACAAGACCTTAATGCGTTCATCATTCTTTTACTATTTTCTCTGTTTTTCAGATTATGTAATTTCTATTAATCTATCTTCAAGCTCACTCACTCTTTCTTTTGTCATCTTCCTTCTGCTTTTAAGCCCACCCAGGAAATTTTAATTGCAGATATTATATTTTTTTAGTTTGAAAATTTCCATTTGGTTCTTTTTAATACTTTATGTTTCTCAGCACGGAATTTCTATCTTTCCACTTGTTTCAATCATGTTCATTTTTACCTCATAAAGTATAGTGATGATAGGTGCTTTAAAGATTTGTCTGATAATCTCAACATCTGGATCATCTCAGGTTTGCAGCTATTAATTTTTTCTCCTAAAGAATTGGACATATTTTTCTGAATCTTCATTGTTGTTTAATTTTGGATTGTATCCTAAATTTTTCTAAATATTATCTTGTGAGACACTGGCTTCTGTTAAAATTCTCTAGATAGACTTGAGAACAAATAGAAAACCTTCACAAATCTGTCACAAAAAAAGAGATTGAATTAGTAACCAAAAACCTCCTAAAAAAGAAAAGCCCAGGACCAGAAAAGCCCAGGACCAGAAAAATGAGTTCTAGCAAACATTCTCTGAAAAAGAATTAACACCAGTGATTCTCAAACTCTTCCAAAAATAGAAGAGGAAGGAATACTTCCTAACTCTTTCTAGGAGGCCAGCATTACCCCAGTATCAAAGTCAAGTAATTGTGTCACAAGAAGAGAAAACTGTAGACCAATACCCCTTATGAAAGAACATGCCTTCTTTGCTCATCTGTGAGGTTTTTTTTGCCTATCATGAAACCTGGTTGACAGTAGATACTCAACAAATGTCAAGAAGTGGATGCAAAGAAAGGTGGACGGATGGATAATTGAGTGGATGAGTAGGTGGGTGGATGGATGGATGGATGGGTGGATGGATGGATAGATGAATAGATTATTTAGCCCTAAGAATTATCTAGGAGATAAACAAGTGAGTATCAATACTTCATTCTGAATAGTGAACAGCTCACTGAATGGTCCTTCCTTTCAACCATCCTCATGAGACCTTTTAAACTTAGGTAGTGGCCCAGAGTCTCAAAAAACATGAGCTCAAATGAATTTTAATGACCTTGGCAATGGAGCTGAATTTCTAATTTTCACTGATGGCCAAAGCCAAAAAAATCTTGGGCCCAACTTGGATTGGCACCATGTCCAGGGGTAACCAGAGACAACTTTTATTCATGTTTCAAAGAATGATGCTGGGTCCCTATCTGACACCGTATACAAAAATCAACTCAAAATGGACCAAAGACCTAAATGTAAGTACTAAAACTGTAAAACTTTCAGGAGAAAAATGGGGGTACATCTTCATGACCTGGACTAAGTAATAGTTTCTTAGATATAACATCAAAGGCACAAGTAACAAAAGAAAAAGTAGATAAATTGACTTTACCCAATTTAAAAACTTTTGTGTTTCAAAGGACACCATTGAGAGAGTGAAAAGACAAACCGACAAATAAGAGAAAATATTTGCAAAGTATGTATCTGATAAGGGTTTATTATCCGGAATGTGTAAAGAGCTGAACCTAGAGGACATTATTCTAAGTGAAAAAGCTAGGCATAGGAACAAAAATACTGTGTGATTTCACCTGTACATGGAATCTAAAGGAAACGTTTTTAAGAAACCCAGAAAATTCACCTACATTTAAACAGAAAATAGAACTGTGGCTACCCTGTGTGTGTGTGTGTGTGTGTGTGTGTGTGTGTGTGTGTGTAGGAAATGGAGAGACATAGATCAAGGGTGCAAAGTTATAGTTGTGTAGAATGACTAAATCTAGAGATGTGTGTACAGCATGGTGATCATAGTTAATAATATTGTATTGTACACTGGACATTTGCTAAAAGACAAAATTTTAGGTACTTTACCACAGAAAAAGGTAACTATGTGAAGTGATGGATATGTTAATTTGCTTGACTTTAGTAATCATTTTACTGTGTATTATGCATATCAAAATATCATGTTGCATACCTTACATACATATAATAAAAATAAATCAATTAACAAATAAACCATAAACCAAACAACCCAATTAGAAAGTAAGCAAATAACTTGAATAGACATTTCTTTAAAAAGATATACAAATGGCCAATTAGCACAAGAAAGACACTTGACGTTGTTAGCTATTAGGAAACATCAAAACCACAATGAAATACAACTTCACATTCATTAAAAACGGACAGACAATAACAAGTGTCAAAGACACAGAGAAACTGGAACCCTCACATATTGTGGGTGGGAATGTAAAACAGCACAGCTGCTTTGGAAAACAGTTTGGCAGTTCTTCAAAATGTTAAATATGGAGTTACCATATGACCCAGCAATTCTACTCCTAGGTATATACCTCAAAGAATGGGAAACAGGTGTTTAAATAAAAACGTAGACACTAATTTTCTTAACAGCACCATTCACAACAGCCAAAACATGGAAACAACCTAAATGTCTTTCATCAGTTGAATGGGTACACAATATATGCGATATTCATTTAATAAAAATAAAACCATAAAAAGCAATGAGGTACAAATATATGTTTATCCATGTTTTATTTATCCATATGACATGGATAAATTGCAAAAACACTGCTAAGTGAAAGAATTCAGACACAAAAGATCATATATTGTACAATCCATTTATATGAAATATCTGGAATGGGTAAACCTATATATAGAGAAAACAGATTGATGACTTCTGGGGATGGGGAGGAGTGGGGAATAGGAGTGACTGCTTAGCGGGTACAGGTTTTCCTTTCGTGGTAATGAAAATGTTTTGAAACTCAATTGACGTGATGTTGGCACACATTGTGAATGTACCTAATGCCACTGAATAGCACACTTTAAAATTGCTTCTTTTATGTTATGTTAATTTTACCTCAAATAATTCCCAAGCAACTCCTATTCCCAGTGTAATCATGAGACAAATATCAGACAAATTTCAATTGCTAGGGACATTCTGCAAACATTCTACAAAATACCCAAACCAGTACTCCTCAAAACCGCGGTCATACCAAACAAGAAAGCATGAAATAAGCTGTCACAGTTGAGACTAAATACAACGTGCTGTGGATGGGATCCTGGAACAAAGAAAGGTAAAAACCAAGGAAATCCAAATAAACTATGAATTTTAGTTAAAAATAGTGTGTCCGTATTGATTCATTGATTATAACGAATGTACCAGACTAGTGTAAGATGTTAATAATAAGGGAAATTGGGTGTGGGGTATAGGAGAATACTATGTTGTAAAAAATAAAGTCTATTAAAAAAATTCTCTCTTCAGCATCGTTCTTTTTGTTTTGATGGACAAACTGGTTAGCCTCAGACTCCAATTTCTGACTAGCCTCTTGTGGCTGGCAGATCAATGTCCATTCCGATTCCAAAGCCCTTTGCTGTGCTTCGTAAGCACCACGTGTGTGTGCCACTCATGGTCTCCTCTGGACGTTCTCAGGCTAGGGTTTAGATTGTAGCTCAGTTTTCAAAGCTCTTGCTAAATGCTTCTTCATGGTCTTCAAGGTCTGCTCCATGCATGCGCATCTCAAGGGTGAGCCTGGGACTTAGGTAGGTCCATTCTCAGAGTTGGGGGATGCCTGTCTCCAGCTCTCACCCAGTGAGGTGACGCCCCCTCAGCACATTCCATTTCTCAGGGGCCCCCTTTTTGTGGTTCCTGTGGACAGAGAGACAAATTTTCTCCTCAGGTTTTATATGCCCATGCTGTGGAGGCAGAAACAGTATTGCTTTGCAACTGAGGCTGACCTTGGGGCAGAGGTAGACAAGAAAAATGAGAAAAAAATAAAAAAGAAAGACAAGAAGGGGAATCCTCCTGCACTCTCAGGCTCCTAGGGATCCCTTTTCCTGGCTTTCTGGCTGGAGGGAGTGGGTTGCAGGCAGAGTTTTTGCTGTCCATGCCCTCTGTGTAGTTCTAACCCTCTGGCTCATCCTTGGGTCAAAGCCAGGAGATAAAAAAGGAAAAAAAAAAAAGAAAAAGAAAAAGAAAAAGAAAAAGAAAAAAACACTATATTGGTCATTCCTCAAGTTTCAACTTCTTTTCTCAAATTTCTCTTGCTTACTCTTTGGAGTTAACAGGAGCTCTTAGCTGTAATCAGGGGAAGATGTACGCTATCAGGGGCTTCCTCTATTTGAGCTAGCATGGAATTCAAGTTATGTTCTTGAATCAGCCTTCAGCCCATCCACAATTTGCAGTATGCAGTGGTTCCCCTAGTTCCTTCCTCTCCAGTTTAACCTTCTAACATGATCAACCTGTCCATTAACTTCTAGGCACTCGACTTATCTGCTCAGTTTCCTGGACTTGGCTGTCTTCTTCCTCCTGGTTTGGCGGTTCTTCAGAAGCATTCCCCAGATAACAAACCTCTCTTGGCTTGTTCCTAGGACTACTCACACCTGTGACAGGGCACAGTGATGTCTGCAAATGGGCTCTGCCCTGCTCCGTGGATGCCACTGTCTCCTGGTCCTGGCCAGGTCCAGCTCTACAGCACTTTCCTGAACCTTTGTTGTATCCCAGCTGTGCCCAGCTTGAGTCATACTGAGAGGTCATCAAAGACAAGACAAGACAGGGTCAGAGCTGGGGGAACTAACTCAGATATAGAGTGGCCATGGGGTAGGAGACCAACAGGCAAATCTTGATTTTGGTGGCAGTGTAGGGGACAGGGGTTCCTGTGGGAAGGCTCTCCCCTGGCAGCTTCCTATTGTCCTATCTTGTATAGGGAAGAGGGAGAAGACTGACAGGGGAACTAGAATCAGCCTCCATGTAATTTCATTTTAATAATCTCCATGGTGACAAAAGTCCTTCTTCTGAAGGAATATTTGATTTGTTGAAATAGTCAAAAGTCATCTAGAATGAAGCCATTTCTGGTCAATGAGATGAGTTATCAAGTTGGCGATGCTAACATTGATCCCAAATGGGATGAGAGTGCAAAGGAAAATGAACTTGTGTAGCCTATAAATTACTTTAGAAGACAGTTCAAAAACAAGGTTCAAATATATCTTGGGAAATGCTGGTATTGCCTTCCAAGGTAACTCCTGTGGATGAGACAGCACTCACGCTGTCCTTGCCTGTATTAGCTTCCAAGGTGATAAACCAGTCCATTAACTTCTAGGCACTTGATTTGCTTGTTTAGTTTCCTGGACTTTGCTAGAATGTCTCCTTCTGTCAAGGCATCTTTTCAAACTGATTACCCAGTATAGAAGGAGTGTCAGTTAGGAAATGGGTTTGACTGCAAGTAACAAATCTCTGAAAAACAGTGTCTTAAACCAATTAAAGATTTATTTTTCTTCACTTAACTGACCATCCCTAGCTGTAAGTGTTATTGAAAATGTTTTTCAGCTGTGTCTCACTGCCTCTCATCCCAAACAAATTGAAGGGCTTTTTTCTTTGTGTTTTTTTTTTTGTTGTTGTTTTTTGTTTTGTTTTGTTTTTGTTTTTTTTTTAAGAAAGAAGGGGAGAATGGACATTGGGTTGATGGACTACTAGAATCTCTATCAAGCAAATCTCTGGTAAATAAAAATTGAATCTAAGTCTCAGATCTGCTGGAATCACAGGGGAAAGATTGGTTAATGCTTTAAGGTCAAGGTTGTCAACAGAAAATGATGAGATGCTGGAATGTTTCTGCTGTTTTACTAATGGCTCTTTCTTGGCCCCTGGTTACCATTGGACATGGTGCCAATCCAAGTTGGGCCCAAGATTTTTTTGGCTTTGGCCATCAGTGAAAATTAGAAATTCAGCTCCATTGCCAAGGTCATTAAAATTCATTTGAGTTCATGTTTTTGAGACTCTGGGCCTACCTAAGTTTAAAAGGTCCTCATGAGGATGGTTGAAAGGAAGGACCATTCAGTGAGCTGTTGATTATTCAGAATGAAGTATTGATACTCATTTGTTTATCTCCCAGATAATTCTTAGGGCTAATCTATTCATCTATCCATCCATCCACCCATCCATCCATCCACCCACCCACCCACCTACTCATCCACTAATTTATCCATCCATCCCCCCTTCTTTGCATCCATTTCTTGCCATTTGTTGAGTACCTACTTTCAACCAGGATTCATGCTAGGCAAAAACAAACAAACAAACAAACAAACAAAAAACTCACAGATGAGCAAAAAAGGCATGTTCTTTATTTCTGAGGACCTCAAATACATGACACCAGAAAATAACTTTGCCTGGAACACAGGGGTCGAATATACTAGTGTATTTATGTGCAGGTGCCTTAACCTCTCTCTTCCATCACTCAGGGTGAATGATTTAGGCCACATCTGCCCCTCCACTCTCTTTTGTTTGTTTATTCAGAAAGACAGAAAAAGAGAAAGACACAGGGAGAGAAACAGCCTTTCTCTATCATATAAAACCTTTAAATCTTAAAATCCAGGCCGAGGCTGATGCTTTCTCACTGCACTGGAAATGACCAGAGCGAAAGAAAACATTCGGTCTTAAAATCCCTTCCTGTTTTGCACCAAGTTTGGACTTTATTTTTGCTTCACATTTTCCTTTGTTCTTTCCCCAGTTTCTCTGTTGTTTTCTCAGGAAGGAGAACTCTCCTTCCCTTTTCAGCCCAGCACAGTAGAATTTGTACCCAAACATCCTCACTGGGTTGACAAAGCATTCCCCTGGGACATAACGCAGCTTGTTTAATGCCTGTGAGAGGTGAGAGGGCCTGTGTGAGATGAACAGAGCTCCCTAGAGGCCTGGATGAAGCCTGCAGTAACTTCTGTTGATGTATGGATGCTTTTTTTTTTTTTTTTTTGAGAGGAACTTGCATTTCTGTTTTTTTTTCTTTCTTCCTTTTATGAGTTTAAAAGATAACTCTAGACCCACATGGGCTAAATTCTGTAGTAATCTGAGAGTAAAATGATAACAAATGGCATTACCTACCTTCTGTCTGGAAAAAAATTTCTGGTTTATTATTGATAGGTTTTTCTCCCCTATATTTTCCATAACTCTAATCATTGGCACTGATTGGGCTGAAGAAATGAGTCTTCTGGGGCTCAGGAAGACCCAGGACAGTCTATAAGGTGGAAGCCAACTCTGCCTACAAGACATTAGCAGGAGGAGCAGAGAAATGGTTTGCGGGGAATTATAATGAAAGCTGGTGTTTTAAGCACTTTAGTGTGGGCCAGACACCATTTTAAAAGCTTTGTAAATGTGAGCTGTTTACTCCTCACAACAACGCTGTCAGGTAATTTTTATTATTTTTCAGGTTTTATAGGCAAGAAAACTGAGGTACAGAGAGCCGGGAAATATGCCCACGTCACACTGCTACGAGGGCACTGTGGCTCCAGAAGCTTCATCCTGAATCACAATATCATAATGAAGACATTAGAGGGAAAGAGAGAGAGGTTAGGTACTCATATGCCTGAAACTCTGAAATCTTCCAGCTATTTCATTTGGTACATTCATTCATCATATATTTATTGAGCAGCTACAAAGTTCCAGGTACTGTGCAATTTAAAACATAATGTATTTATAGGGAATCTGAGGCCTGGGAAGGTCAACACATCAGGAGCTGCCTGCAATTGAAAAGAGAGTTTGTCACTCACAGTTCCAAGAGGAGGGGCCACGCCATGCAATGGGGGTGGAGGGTAGAGGCACAGTGAGGCACCGGGTCCATCCGGAGGCAGGAGTAGAGGGTAAGCCCAGGGCAGGAGCCTGCACAGCGGCTTCTGCAGGAAGACGAGGCAAGGCAGGGTGCACAGGCTCAGTACTGTTTTGGTCTGAATAATTTCAGTAGCTCTGGGGCAGAAGAGCTCCCCCAAGTTGTCTGGAACCTGGCCCCAGGGTGACTGGTGCACTGGTGCAGGTGGATAGTGGCCCATATGTGAGATCCCAATAATGGAGGTGGTTGAGGTGTGGGCTCTCTGGATTGGTTGGTTTGTATTTGAAAACTGCACTCTTGGGTGAGCTGTTTGCTATCTCTAGAACTGGCTAATCCTGAAGAGGCAGTCCCTCCAGGGTCAGCACGGCTGCAGATGACAAAGCCTGAAATACAGAAAATGAAAAGTATGCTTAATACCCTATGTGCTAAACGGTGAGAAGACAGCAGGGAGCAACGCGAGTAACAGGAAAGTGAGTGTGTGTGTGTGTGTGTGTGTGTGTGTGTGTGTGTAGACCAAGCAAATCACTGGAAAACATATGCCATTGTAAATCTAATTATTAGCCTACTTCATTATTAATTTATCATATGGTGGCATTTAAACAAATGGCTTATCTGTAGTAATCTTGTAACAATCCAGTAGGTGTGGAATGTGGGTCTAATACTGCACTCAGAAACCCTGGATACCAAAGAAACCACCCGGAGTTTCATTTACCTGAGGACCTGCTGGGCTAGGCCTCCTGGGAGCATGGTGAGGAGACTTTGGGCTGTGAGCAGAGATCCAGGACACTGGACTCTTAAAGATGGAGGTGAAAGTTGCACCTCACCTATGTGGGGAATGTCTGGACAATTACAGCCCTCATCCTGAGGAGGGAAAGAGCCTCACCGTTGGTAGTCTTGGTTTTGATCGGTGTATCATAGCAGCAGGACCCCCAGAAGTAGGGCTCTGACATCAAGTGACAGGCAGGGGGATAGTATGGTGGACCATCTGGGTGAAGACAGGGCTTCCATGAGCTGAGGGATCAGGAAACTTCCTGAGATGAGCACGGGAAAGGAGGAGAGAGGCAAGGTGTTCAAGAAGAAAAAGTGAAGGAAAAATAATGGTCCAGGTTTGGAGAATTTCCCCCAATTTCCTCAGAAAAAGGGCTGCCATCTGGAGAAGAATGTGCCCTTTTGGAAAATAGAAAAGACAGTTGTGACCCTGGCAGGGAGAGAGCTCGCCACAGCCTTGTCAAAGTGTCAGTTATGGTGGGTGATGTGGTTTGGCTCTGTGTCTCCACCCAAACCTCATGTTGAATTATAGTCCCCAGTGTTGGAGGAGCCTGGTGGGAGGTGATTGGATCATGGGGGTAGTTGTTTTTGTTTTGTTTTGTTTGTTTGTTTGTTTTGAGATGGAGTCTCGCTCTGTCGCCCAGGCTGGAGTGCAGTGGCGGGATCTCGGCTCTCTGCAAACTCCACCTCCTGGGTTCACGCCATTCTCCTGCCTCAGCCTCCCGAGTAACTGGGACTACAGGCGCCCGCCACCACGCCCGGCTAATTTTTTTTTTTTTTTTGTATTTTTGGTAGAGATGGGGTTCACCCTGTTATCCAGGATGGTCTCGATCTCCTGACCTTGTGATCCGCCCGCCTCGGCCTCCCAAAGTGCTGGGATTACAGGCATGAGCCACCGCGCCCGGCCTCATGGGGGTAGTTTTTAATGGTCTAGCATCATCCCCCTAGAGCTGTCTCGTGATAGAGTTCTCATGAGATCTGGTTGTTTGAAAGTATGTAGCACCTCCCCCTTCACTCTCTCTCTCCTCCTCCGCCATATGAAGATGTGCCTGGTTCCCCTTCACCTTCTGCTATGATTGTAAGTTTCCTGAAGCCTTGCCCGCCATGCTTCCGGTGCACTCTGCGGAACTGTGAGTGAATTAAACCTCTTTTCTTCATAAATTACCCCGTCTCAGGTAGTTCCTTATAGCAATGCCAGAACGGACTAATACAGCGAAGCATGGGAAACACCTCCAGGTGTGCATAAAAGCTACATGGTGGTATAAAGGATTGCAACACAGACCACAATAGCAGAAAAATCCCCAGTACATTTTCTGTGTCCCTGAATAATTTTAGCCACTTAAATCAGTTTCAGCAACCACACCAAAACTTAGTGGCTAGATCTCATGGTTTTGTGGATGGACTAGGAGTTTCTTCTGTTTTATGTTGCTGGGGCACTGGGATAAGTTGAAGTCCCAAATGATCTCAATCACTTGCTGGCAAGTTGGTGCTGCCCATTAGCTGGGAGCTCAGCTGGGACCGTCTGCTGGTGGTTTTAGTTCTCCACATGAGCGTTTCCATGTGGTTCCTTGGGCTTCCTCACAGCATGGTAGCTGGGTTCCTAGAAAGAGCATTTCAAACGGCAAAGGTAGGAGCTGCACATCTCTTAAGTCCTAATCTTAGAAGTTACAAAGTTTCACTTCTGTGCTAATCTTTTGGTTGAATAGGCCACTGGGCCAGTCCAGATTAAAGAGGAAGGAAAATAAACTTTAGCTCTTGATGAGAGACTGGTGGGGTCACTGTGTACCAGAGCACTTGAAAGCCTGTGACCTTTACCTGCTCAGCAGAGCACAGGTATTTGCATTCATAGATATTTGCCAGCCTTGAAGGAGTCGCTGCTGGCAACACACAGGGCATTTCAAGCTTGCAGGCCCTTGACCTTACACGTTCCTAGAAAACTAAAGGCTTCCTTTTATGGGGACAGTACAGGTGATTCATTGATTTTTGCTTTAATGACGAAGGCAACCACTTCAGCCCTACTCTGTAATTTACAAACTTCAATGAACCTAATGTTGTTTTTTGAATGGAACAGGTTAACAGGTTTAGCTACTGTTCAGAGAGGTGGGGAGTGTGTGTGTGTGTGTGTGTGTGTGTGTGTGTGTGTGCATGCGCGTGTATGCAATCCTGCATGGTGCATGGTGCATGATGCAGAGAGGCCTATTGCAGGTTGCAGGCGCCTGTGCTGAATGCACACACTGACCCAGCTATGTGAAGGTCGTCTCATGGCTGCTTCAACACTTAGGAGTGTTACTGAGAGTGCAGAGTCCAGATTGCTGAGGAGGCAAAACGGAGACCACTGGCACAAACGTCCTAAGGAATCCCACGATGGGAGGGCCCCTCAGGACCTCACATGGGGCCTGCTCACCCTTGTTTCAGTTATAAGTGTGGCTATTCCGTTTCCCATCCATGGCGGGTTAGAAACAGCAGGTGAAGTGGGATCGGTGGCAGGAGACGCAGTCCGAGCAAGTGTGTGCAAGGCCATCGTGATGCTTCCTGTTGGTGGACAGAGGCCACGGCTCAGAGCTGTGTTCCTCCCCTCCCACCCCCGAGCCACAGGCGTGAGATATCTGCTGTTCTCTCTCCTAAAAGGGACTCCCTGCAGCAGTCAGGATTAAGGCCTGTGACTGAATGACCTCAGAACACAGTTCGATTTGTTCTTCTTTGGGCATTGGGCAGGTTTTTTTAAGTTAGAAATTTTAAAAATAATACTGTTCGGAGTAAGTAGTTTTAATGATTTGGGATGAATTTTATTTTTCAGAAACAATCTTGTCTTTAACCAAAAAGTGAAGTTTCCACCTGATATAGTTTGGATATCTGTCCCCTCCAAATCTCATGTGGAAATGTGGTCCCTGGTGTTGGAGGTGGGGCCTGGTGAGAGGTGTGTGGGTCATGGGCAGGTCCTTAATGAATGGCTTGGTGCCCTCCCCGAGGTAGTGAGTGAGTTCTCACTCTATCAGTTACCTGGAGATCTGATATTTTTAAAGAGGCTGGCATCTCTGTCTTGCTCTCTCTCTCCATGTGACATACCTCGTCTCCCTCTGCCTTCCGCCATGAGGAAAACTTCCTGAGGCCTCCCCAGAAGCAGAGGCCAGAGCCATGCTCGTACAGCCTGCAGAACCGTGAGCCACATAAACCTCTTTTATTATCAATTATCCAGTCTCAGGTATTCGGTTACGGCCATGCAAAACAGGCTAACGCACCACCCATGTCCTGTAGTGACCGAATTCCTACTGAGGATGGACACACAGATGGACAGACGTTGCTTCATTTTAAGTCTACATTTTCAAAACAGTTTTTGTTTCGTGGGTTCATTAAGTAAGCATGACTGAGTCACTGGCCACAGGGTTGAACTAGGTCTCCAGCCACCATCTCTCTCTGTAGGTTGGGCTGACACCATGTGACGCAAAGCCCCAACCTTCAATCATGGTTAGCCTTTCTGGCATGGCCAGCCCCAGCCTGAGCCATCTCCTTAACTTAAACTATCTAGGGGCCCCCAGATCACCTCATTAGCATAAACTATCAGGGCCCACCATAAGTAACAAAGACAATCGTATCACTGGGGAAATTCCAAGGATTTAGAGGCTTCCTCCCAGTAACTGGGGACAAGACAAAGGCTGTCCAAATTGATCACACGGGAGTGGCTATACTATATTCACTGTGATCATTGAATGATTCTGAAATTCACGTATTATTTTCACATTTCCACACCACTGAAAGTGGGACCGAGTTTACAATTGCTGTGGCCCTTATAGTCGTTGTCATCCTCTCAGCTACACATCAGAACTTGGAAAATGGGAATCAATCTCAGAAGAAAACACTGAGCACCCTTTTAAGAACTACGCTATGACCAAGGCTCTTGCTGATACAGAGACCATACTACATGGAAAAGCATGAACAGCAACACTGCTAAACACAAACACTATTCAAAAGTGTTGCACTCTGAAGGAAGGTGAAGGAGTTTTAGGGGCACCTTGACTAATTTGTTTCCTTATAGCTGGCCTGTTATGTAAGTGCAAACCTTTTCTCCCCTTAGTGGTACATAATGTAGTGTGTATCTTATCATTGATGGTGTGTAGTATTCAATGAAATATGGAGTTTCATAATGGCTTTTTTCTCTGAGTATATTATGAACATATTTCTACATCAAAGCGCTTCATGTTTCTCATAATATATAATTTTATTGCATTGGTATATTATCTAACACGCTTTATTTAACTGATTCCCTACTAGATATGTGTGCTCTTCTCATTTCCACGGTTGTAACCAAGACTGAGGCATATGTGGCTGTGTTGTTATGTTTTGCACACTTGTCCAGTTGCTTCTTTAAGATAAATTCCTAGAAGTGTAATTTATGGGTCCTACTGTGTCTGCATTTTAAAAACATGCTGCCCATTTCCTTTTAGAAAAGCCATAGCTCTCCACTCTCTCCAGTGGTAGTTGGTCACTGGCTGCCACACCCAGGACCACTCTGTGTTTTCTGTCTTTGTCATCTGTCAGTCTCCTGCAATACTTAACCTCTTCTGTTCTACTCCCAAGGATCTTGTTTCAGTGTGAATTTCTCTGATTATTAGTGAGGTTGATTATCTTAAAAATATGCTATTGGCCATTTATTTGTACTCCTTTTTAATAACTGCTTATGTGTGTTCATTGTACTTTCTTTCTTTATTGAGTTGTCTTTTTTCTCATATGAATTATAATATTTCCCCAGGTTTTGGATTGCCTTTTCATTTTGGCTTAACTACCTTTTAATTAACACGTTGTCATGTCACATCCAGACAAAAGACAAAACAGACTGGGTGACAGCTCAGAGGGAGCTGCCAGATGGCCACCAGTGCCCCCTCGGGGGAGGCAGGCAGGCTGGGTAGTGGCCACCCAGGGGAGGGGCTGCCAAGCCTGCTCTGGGTCTGAGCTCCTGGGTGTTTCAGCATCCCATATGGGTAATTGGCAGTCCCATTGTGCTGAATTCACGAGTCTGAGGCTCCCAACCTGGCGAGGGCTCTGCAACATGGCCTTGCTATATGTAATCCAGGCTCACAGGGTGGAAGTGCATTGTACATCTGAGCTCGTCCACTCCTGTATAAAATTGGGAAACACATCCTCAGTAAGCAACAGAACAACAACCATGTCCACAGGGTGAGGCTGTCCAGGAGGCCTCTGATGAAGCTTGAATCCGTGAGCTGGCATTCTTTTGACCCTGCTGTTTATCAGCAGAGTCCTTTCCCTTATAAGGGGAATTCTCTCTCTGTACCTCAGGGCATCTAAGCCTCCACACTGGATGTTTTATTAGAAAGCAGTGAACAGGCAATAAGCCCCTTGACAGGACAGTTCTTTGTTGCTCAGAAATCGCTCTTGGCTACCTGTCTAAATCACTGGGGTAAACATCAGGAAACCTTTTAAAGGGGTCAAGAGAGGCCGGGGCACCTTGAACTGCAGCACCTACTCTCTTATCAACAAAGGCAGACACTGGTCATCTCATTCAATACAGCCGACTGCAAAGGAAGCTCTGCTCCATTTCTCAAAATGGATGATATTCTTGTATTCTGAGATGTCTACTTTCAATAAAACAAAGTCATAATATTTGTCAGGAGAAAGTAAGGGAAAGGAAGCTGACATTTATTAAAGACACACTGTGCTCCAGACCCTGTGCTCAGCGCTTTCCAGTGTGCAGACTCAGTCGTGGTGAGCCGCGTATACGGCTGAGACCTGCATTTAATTAATAAGAGACTATTATAAACATCATATAGTACGTCAGAAACAATTAGAAAAGATGTTCTCCTTAAGGCCTCAAGCGTCAAAGGAGAAAGAAAAATTAAAGACACTGAAAATGGTGCAACTTTTCCTAATCATTCAAATCAAATCATACTTTTGCTTCATTTATCTACACACACACACACACACAGAGTCATGCGTTGCTTCATGATGGGGCTATGTTCTGAGAAAAGTGAAGTTTTAAGTAGAGTAAGGATATGGGGATAACATTTGGGTTTTTATAGGATCCTTCTTGCTGAAGTGTGGAGAATGGTTTGAAGGGCACCACAGTAGAAGTTTTAAGATCAGTTCAGGTCTTCAGCTTTCTGCTCATTAAAATCTTTGTTCGCTGAAGTTTCCAGCCTAGAAAAGAAATTCTAGACATTGTAAACACACAGCATTCATCTTTGGACATCAAGAGTGCTCAAGGGGCAACAAGCATGTGCCCACCTCCCTGAATTCTGGCTCCCATCCTCCCTCCCTCTCCCCTCCCTGGCACCCCCTCTCGCCTCCCTGGCACCCTCCTGCACTCTCCCCTCTGTGGCACTCTCCCTCCCACTCCCTTCCCTCCCTCTCTCCTCTCCTGCACTCTCCCTCCCTCTCCCTTTCCTCCTTCTTCCCTTTCTGGCACCCTCCCTCCTTGTCCCCTCCCTCCCTCTCCTCTCCCTCCACATCTGCTGCAGATCCTCCTCTCTCCTGCTCTACCCACATCTGCTGCCCTTTTTGTCATAAAAAAATTACATAACACCATCTTCCTGGCCATTCTCCTCTGCCAATATCAAATTAGTTATCTAAATTTGATTCGTTAGGGAATCACGTTTCATTTCAGCTTTTCTTGAAATAGAAGCATTTTAATAAATTATATTCAACACACCAGTATAAAATATAAAAGTAATTCAATTTCTTAACACAAGTCTTTTATTTTCTCATAAAATGAAGCAGGGAAGTCTCCTAGGAGAAGCTCCTTGCCTTGACAGCACCCTCCTTGCAATCTGTGATCTCCCTGTACTCATTCGCACGGGTTACGTTGTGGCAGATTCTGCCATAGAGAAATGACAAAGGAGTGATCACAAAAATGCACTTAAAAGTGCTTTGCAGCACTCTCCTCACCCCCTGATATGAGGAGGGGTTAGCGAGCCCTTCAGGGGTGGGTGGTCATTCTGCTCCTCTGGGTCATAGGCAGGAGCCCCTCCTCCTCTCGTCTTGGCCTGTGGTGTGGACCGTGAAGTGGGTTGTTCTCACATTATTCCTACTCTGGAAGAATGGGAAGGGGTTGTCCTCTGGCAGAAGATAAACATCTGCTGAGTTCAAACACTCTTATTGCACTATATGGAGAAACTAACAAGCTCATCAATGCATTTCATTATTGGTCTGAAGATTAATTACATCTGATGGTAACAATTGTGGCTTCCATTATCGCAGAAACTGTCTGCTGAAAGTGACGTTGCTGGTTATCTGTCATCTTAATGTGAGGAATTCTGGCAAAGGGGCCCTGGCGTGACGTTCCCAAGCATTCCCTACCTTCACCCTAACTCCCCAAGCAGCCCTGCCCATTCCCAGCTATATAGCCACCCTAGGACCAGGAAGGACTGCCTTGTTTTTCTCTGTAGTAGATGAATGACAGAGGGGCAGATGCAGCCACCCTTTTCTTGATGTGCCTAGGCAGGTGTCCTGCCTGCCCTGGCTCGGCTCCACCAAGCCGATGGATATGCTGTGTACCCTGCGGCCACCTCCTGGGCAGCAGGTGGCCCAGATCTGTCTGTGGCTGTGCTTGCCACCTTGCTGGGTGTCACGGCTCTTTGCTCCTTGGCCCGTGGCTCTCCCTTTGACCCCTCTCTGGTCTGCAGCACTTGGTGTCTGCCCATGAACTCCCTGGGTTTGAACCTCCCCTGGGGACTTTTTGGCTTACCTTGGCTGGGCTCGGGCTGTCTTGTGCTAATTCTGGTGGAAGAAACATCTTGTTCTTGCTGGAAATAGAACCTTCTCCTTATCTCCCCCTCCACCCACACACACATGCCCATCGCTCTCCACCAAACAGGGAGTCAGCACCTCCATAGGCTGTGAGAAGACTGAGCTCGATTCTCCTGCTCCAACAGCCTAGAGCTACGGTAATCCAGGGCATGGGGTCAGACATCAGTGGCTCTCAAACTTGAGCGTGTGCAAGAATTCCCTGGAGGGCTAGTGAGAGAATCTGATTCAGTAGGGCTGGAGCAAGGCTGGGAATTTGCATCTTTAACAAGTTCCAAAGTGGAGATGGTGTTGCTGCTGCTCAGGTGTTTGAGATGCGGGCAGTGGCCGCCAGTGCAGAGGAGAAAGCTGGCCACAGCCTCTGTGACCTACAGTTGGAGCTGGTCATGCCTAGCATGGCCCACCCTGGGCCACAGGGCACCTTTGAGCAGCTGGCAAAAGACCTGGCTAAGACATCATTTGGATGTTCGCGGTGGAGGTCAGAGCCTCTTGGGAGAGGAGGCTCTTCTCCTCAGCCTAAAGCCAGAGCCACTTTTACTGCATAGCTAGAAGGGCCAGAGAAAGAATGCGGGCTCTGGGGGAAATGAGCCTTGCTCGGAATCCTGTCTCCATGACCTCCGGTTTACTCAGCCCTTCTGGGCCTGCAGAATAGGACAACTGCATCTGCCCCATACGGTTGTTGTGGGGCTTTGATGAGACACATTCTAGCATAGCTGGGGTTGAGAAGGAGCCCACGAAGGATGGCTGCGATGATGAATAGCTGCCCAGCAGCATTTCTTTCCAACTCCACCCTTTGGCAATGAGTGCAAAGGCCGAAGCCTTATACATGGGGTCACCTCAGTACTCCTCTGTGCCCTACAGAGCTTCCATTAGGACCTCCCGCCGCACCCCTCAACAGGCACTGGGGAGAAACAGGAATCAATGACACTAACACCCCCCACAGCACTGGCAGAACGAGGGAAAGGGAGAGGGAGCCACAGCCAGCCACGTGCTTACTGTGTGCTGGCGTTGTGCTACTTGAGGAAGGAATTCTGTTTCCATTTTACAGTTGAGGAAACAGAGGTTGAGAAACTGGCTCCAGGGAGAAGCAAAGCTCTTGGATTACTTCCAAGCCCCTCATTTATTTTGTAGTTTTTTGAGATAGAGTCTCGCTCTGTCGCCCAGGCTGGAGTGCAGTGGCGTGATCATGGCTCAAGTGATCCTCCCACTTCAGCTCCCGAGTAGCTGGGACTACAGGTGTACGTGCCACCACACCCGGCTAATTTTTGTATTTTCTGTAGAGATGGGGTCTCGCCATGTTGCCCACAAGTCCCTCATTTTAGAGGTGAGAAAATCAGAGAAGTTGCATGCCTTTCCCAAAGACACACAGCCGTTTTAGTGATAGCATTAGGGCAAGCCTCAGTTTCTAAAAACTGGATTTGTCTCACTGTCTCATGGCCTCCTCTTCACTCCTTCCCTTGAGTAGTTAACCCAGGAGAAAAGGCGTGGTGTGACAGCACTGGGGCCCTAAAGACATTTTTGTTTGTTTTGGTTTTAACAAATTGAAGTTGGCGTTGGTTTTCCCCTTTAGGAAGACGGGGAGAGTCTCTTTTGATGACAGGCTTTTGAGGACTATCCCCGTTACACCCGCAGTCATGCTACATCCGAGGAAGTTATTACTGACCAGTGATCCTTGTCAAAGGCAGCTGTCACTGCGAATACATTTGAATCCCCCAAATTTTGTGAAATATCCTGCCCCAGAGAGGTCACTTTTATAGACCAAGTAATGCATGATACACAGCAACTCCAGAACCCAGTGAGGGATTTTCAGGTCAGCAATGGCTGGGGAAGAGATCTCAGCTCTGCAAAATTAGAATTGGCCCCTACAGGGCAGTCTTAGCCTCCTGATTCACATAAAGGGGGATCTCTCTTCTTGATTTCCTATATCCTCCCTAACTCAGTCACCCTCCCTTTCTCCACTCCCTCTTTTTCTTTGCAGCCTAAATAGAGCCCATAGGAGAAGGCTGCTGAATAAATAGTGTATTAAATAAGGTAACTGAAGTGTGAACCTGTGCAAATATTTTAGTATTTTATTTTTAAATCATCTAGTAGTAAGATGTCTTCACTAATTGAAAACCCATCACAATCTAATTGCATGTTTCTTTCTGTCTGAAGGTCACTGCGCAAATATGGGTGAAGCATCTTCCACGTGGCAGGCATAGTTCTGGGCACTCATACATCAGTGAACAGAACGTGGACTCCTGTCAGCCTCATTTCAGCAGTGAGGAGTGAGGTGATCAACAACACACTTAATAAATAAGGAAGTTTTTCAGGTCAGAAATGCTAAAAAAAGGGAAAAAGTAGAACAGAGAAGAGGGATTGGAAAGGCTGTGGTATGAGTGTTGTGTGAGTGTGTATATGTGTGCAAGTGTGTGTGTATGAGTGTGTACGTGTGTTGGGATTATGTTGGATGAGCATGTGGGTGTGTTTCCTGCATGTGTGTGTGTTTATGGGTGCATGTGTGGGCGTGTGGGTGAGAGTGGGGGGGGGCACTTTTATATGGGGTGCTTAGAACAGGCCTCACTAGGAGGAAAGCTCTGAGCCAGGGTGTGAAGGAGGTGACGAGGTGTGCTGTGTGGAATCTGAAATGAGAAGGGGAGAGGCTTTCCTCTCTAGGGATTTTTGGTTCTGATCTGCAAGCGGTAACTCTCTGGAAATGGTGTCAGAATGAAGACTCCTGCTCATGGAAACATCTGGATATTCTCCTATTTTCTTGGTAGGCTTTGCTTAAACACATCAGCTGCTCATATTGAATGGGATTTAGAAACATGTCTTTTTTTGTTGTTTTTTTTTTTTGTTGTTGTTGTTTTTTGAGACAGAGTCTTGCTCTGTTGCCAGGCTAGCCTGCAGTGGTGCAATCTCGGCTCACTGCAAGCTCCACCTCCTGGGTTCATGCCATTCTCCTGCCTCAGCCTCCTGAGTAGCTGGGACTACAGGTGCCCGCCACCACGCCCGGCTAATTTTTTGTATTTTTATTGGAGACGGGGTTTCACTGTGTTAGCCAGGATGGTCTCGATCTCCTGACCTCGTGATCCGCCACCTTGGCCTCCCAAAGTGCTGCGATTACAGGCGTGAGCCACCGCGCCCGGCCAGCCTGTCTTTTTAGAGGCGACCTGAGCCCTGCTCCGGGACTGATTCTGGATGCTGTCTGGGATGACTTGGATGATACTGATCTCCATGAGGGCAGAGTGGGCTCTGCACTTGCTGGGTTTGCTCTAGTCTGGCTGGAGCAGACTCACTGGTAACCAACCTCTTGTAGTCAGCAAGGCCAGATAGGGACTGGGGACAAGGGCAGCAAACAGAAATGCTCTGTCTCCAGCGTGGCACAAGACAAATGTGAAGGAGGGATTACCTGAGGGAGATATGAAACAAAAAGCCAACACCTGATGGGCAGTGTCCCTCCCACCTCACTGCCTCGGAATCTTAGATGAATCTTAACCTGTCCTGAAGAAGGATGACACAGCAGCCAGTGTTTGATTTGTGAAAGGAATCGCTTTGTGCATTTGATGTTGAAATACGTGCAGATCCCCCAGGCCCTGGCTCCTGCTGGGGTCTGCCAGGCCAGCTCAGCAGGGTCTCTACCTACAGGGATTAGCCCCCAGGAAGGGCTGCTCTCCCTGGCACCATGAGGATGGGGATCTTGCCTCACGTGGAGTAATTCAGAGTTTGGCCACCAAGGTTTTGTCGTGAGCCTTTTGTGCTGGGCAGCACAGCCAATTCCTTGTCTTGGATTATTCACAACCAGCTGCAGCCCCCACAGACTCCAGTGTGGTGAACACAGAGGAGAGGACAGCTTTACACACAGTGTTGCCAATGTACGTGCCTACCCCTAGTTCTGTGGAAACCAGGAGCTCTTGTCAAGTTCCAATTACTGCGGTCCTTAATGTGACCACAGGTGGAAAAATGGACCCTTGTAGCTTGGCTCCCTGCTGTGTTTAACTTGAAAGATATGCTTTCAAAAAATCCCTGTGGAGACTGAAAACTCCATAGAGCCAGTTGGCGCCCTACCTACATTAGAATAATCATCCTCGGTCCAAAGGCATAGGGAATTCTTTAGAAACATCACAGTGATGCATGAAACAGGAAATGCAAGTGGTTTGCCGCGAAGACACTCAAAATGCAGTTGGACAGCAATAGCACCCTTTCTCTTTTGATATTCAACTCCAAGTTTAATTACTGCTCAGAGAGATATGGCTGAAAAGTTGCTAGCATATAGAATTTTTCTATTTCCATTTCTTTTGCTGCTTTGACTTGCAGAGTCAGTACCACTCTTTGATCCAGGCAAGGGGGATTCTGCCTCTTCCCTGTCTCTGGTGGCTGGAACTGTAGTGTTCTCAAGTCATAGCTCCCTGAGCCTTGTCCTAATGTCCCCGCCGTCATCTCTCCCTTCTGGGATAGTCTCCAATCCACTCTCTGCAGGTGGGGTCGACCAGATGGCCTGGAGCTAGGGCCTTGCCTAACAAGGTCATCCCGTAGGGGGCACCTGGCACGCAGACCACTGTCACTGCCTGGGACAGTACTTCCTTTACGGGATCACATAAACTTGGGCAGCCAGAATGATGCTGATGGACTAATGTTGAGTGACTTACATTGTTTCTATAGATAAGGGCGCCACACAAAAAATGGTTGCTCCCTGTTCCCCGTAGCAGATGTGCATAGAGTAAATTTCCACAAATTCTAACGTCCTGATAATTTGGCCAGGAGATAGTTTGACATTTACCTTTAGACTATTAAGTGTAAAAGCAGTCTGTTAGGCAAATGATAAGCAAACAATGGAAAGGGGAAAAGGTTGATGTGTTTAAGAGAAAAAAGTTACTCTGAAAATCTTTAGAGTTTCTGTCCATCAGTGATTGATCTAAATTTTAATGAATTCTCATCAATTAATTACAGGCTTATGCCTGTAATCCCAGCACTTTGGGGGGCTGAGGCGGGAAGATTACCTGAGGTCAGGAGTTCGAGACCAGCCTGGCCAACATGGTGAAACCCTGTCTCTACTAAAAATGCAAAAATTAGCCCAGCATGGTGGCAGGCGCCTGTAATCCCAGCTACTCGGGAGGCTGAGGCAGAAGAATCACTTGAACCTGGAGGCGGAGGTTGCCGTGACCCAGGATTGCACCATTGCACTCCAGCCTTGGTGACAAGAGCGAAACTCCATCTCAAAAAAAAAAAATTAGTATGTGCTATAAGGACCTCTGTACTTCATTGTATATACTTAAAAACTTTACATTTATCCCTTTAAAATAATCTCTTCAGACTTTCAGAGCTTTCCATTGCTATTCCCAAGCAATGTTCGTGAAATTATGTAGCATATTTAGTGATCCTCTCTCTTCATTTATGATGGATCTCCAGATAGTTACTGATGTTTTAAAATATACACATCTGCTTAATTTTGTTCCTCCCTTTTTATTTTCCCCAACCCTCACAAAAAGACAGCATTTGGAAAATTTAGCAGACACTAGGCTGAGATCAGGGCAGGCAAATTCGACATCTGACTCTGGAGCAAACCTCTTCCCTTCTCTGTTCTTCGGGGTCCTCATTTGTTTAACAAATGCTGTTAGACCGGGTCCACGGTTTTTGAAAATATTTCAGTCATAGAATCTGTTCTTCAAACCAAACCTTATCCACGAAGCCTGGTACAGAGAACAGACAGTGGAGTTGCTGGCTTTCGGTTTTCGTTGTTTGGTTTTCCATTGCTGTAAGTGTCGGGGCTCAGTGCGGTGTCCCCCGGGGCATGTCTATAGAAAATCCCCATGGCTCCAGGGAGTCCAGTTTAAAGCCCACCCAACTAAATGAGGTTCTTCCTCTCTCAATCCTTCTGTTGGATTTAAAGGTATTGATGGAGGAATTCTATGGTGAAGAATTCCCAATAATATGAGAAATTGCATCATGGGGGTTATTATAAATTCAGCTTTTTCTATTTTGAGTTTCTTTAAAATAAAGTATACTTGTGTAATTTTTGTTACAACAGCTAATCTATGATCATAAATAGATCAAATGGCTTTAATGCTTCTAATGAAACAGTCCGTCTAGCTGGAAGATACTGGCATAATGAAAATCCCTGACTCTAGCCAACAGTGAGGAACGTGCCCCCACAGCCAGCTCCCTCCCCTGCAGGGCCTGAGGGCTCAGTGCGGGATGGGGCTGCAGGGCTATCTCCTCCCGTATGCCCTGAAAAAACAGGACTGCTGAAGGCCTCAGACCTTCAACTTGCTCCTGAAAGCGTGACCACAGTGGAGACGCATCTGCAAAAGCAAGTTGACAGATGCAGATCTCAGAACTGAACAGAAGCCTCTCGACAAACGTCTCTTATTTGGCCTTGGGGACAGGATGAGGGGGAAGTGGTGTCAGAATTGGCTGTGTAGAAACCAAGGCCTAAGCTAGGTAAGAGGCTCAAAGGCTCTTTGTGTTATAAGATTAAGGGACCATCAGGGGAAAAAGAGAAATGAAGTAGGCAATAGAAAGAAATTAGACTTTCTTTCTCTCACAACCACCCTTCAAAGTATGTATTATCATTCTTATTTTACAAAAATGGAAATGAGCTCAGCAATGTGCTTGTTACACAGTCAGTCAGAGCTGGATAGATGTTTTTTGTTGCTTTTTTTTTTTTTTTTTTTTTGAGACGGAGTCTTGCTCTGTCGCCCAGGTTGGGGTGCAGTGGCGCGATCTCGACTCACTGCAAGCTCCGCCTCCCGAGTTCACGCCATTCTCCTGCCTCAGCCTCCCGAGTAGCTGGGACTACAGGCGCGTGACACCACGCCCGGCTAATTTTTTGTGTTTTTATTAGAGACGGGGTTTCACCGTGTTAGCCAGGATGGTATCGATCTCCTGACCTCGTGATCCACCCGCCTCGGCCTCCCAAAGTGCTGGGATTAAAGGCGTGAGTCACCACACCTGGCCGATAGATGTATTTTTTATCTCATTAGAAACAGCCCACCTTCCTGGGTTATAGAAAGAAGCAGAGGCCGAGAGCCGTCGACCCTCCCAGCTCCCGCCTGTGTTCTCTTCTTGGTCCTCTCCCATCCTGAATCGACAACCAGCAAATATGACAATCCAGATGGTGGTCCTACCCGACTTAAGCCTCTCTGGGCCTCACGTTGGAAGCGCCCCTTTGCTCCCAGCCTGAGACTCAGTGACCTGAGCCGTTAGAAGGACAGATGGGCTTTGGGGGACCGAGTCTACACCAAGACGTCAGGACATCGCTAGGAGAGCTCTTGCCTCCAGCACACACGTTCCCTGGGAGTGAGGTTTGTGTGTGTCCTCCCTCACTGAGGAATGTGGGGGCTGTGGAAGCACTTGAGCAGGAGTCTGCAGAGGGTGGACATGCTGCTGCCGGGGAGCTCGCTCTGGTGCTCAGCTTGGTTTCTCCGGGCTTGCTTTAAAGGGACCCATGCTGCAAAAATCGTGACTATAGCAGCACCCATAGGGCCTTCAGGGCAGAAACCTTCTTTTGCCATGCACTTTTACAGGGTCAAAATTTATTAGAAGATTGCGCAGGCTCTGAGAGGTCCTAATGTGTGCCTGGGTATTGAAAATTGGGTGAATGGGGCCCACGGAAGAACGCTCTCTGGGGAAAGTCTGGAGGGGACAAGAATAAAAAGTTCCTCCACTACTCAGATGTAAGCAAACTGCAGGAAGAGGGTTCTGGGGAAAACACATTGAGGTTTAATACTAAGCCACCTGGAAAGAGTGGGTTGCTTCTCTCACACCAGGAGAAATTCTGCATAAATGTGTCAGGCCTTACAAGTTTACACAAGCAGGAAGCCTCTGGGTTAAAATGCTCCCAAGGATTAAAACCCACAGGGTTCTGATGCTTTGCTTGGTCGGGGTGGACACAGCACCACTTTTCCTGGGCTCCTCAGCCCCAAGGGAAGGATGCTGGCCAGGGTGTGGAGATTAGTGGTTTGGAGGGGGCTTGCCTGCCCGATCCCTGTGAGTGACAGAAGCCCTGCCCACCCTCGGCAGGACCACAGTTTGCTTAGATGATGGTTGCCCCTGGCAGCCCGTGAGCTCAAGGCTTGACATGTCGAGCTGTCCTCCTCCCCATCCTTATTGCTGGAGATGCTAGAAGACGTGTCCCCAGCACTCTCAGACCAGGCTGCTCTTTTCCCTTCACAGCAGGACACGGATATCACCTTGGGGCCTTGGTCACTGGGCTGCCTCCTTGGCCTGCCTTTCCCCTCACTCCGGGCCGCACTGGGCTTCTGTGATTGGGCGGATCACGCCGGCCTCATGTTCCTTCTCTTGTCCCTCTCTACCCCTCATGAAATTGTGCTCCTTCAGAGCATACAGGCCGTCAGGATGCGGGGTAGGGTCAAGACTTATCAGACTGAGCGATGAACACCTTGGCTTCTCCATCAGACCCCGTGAGAACCACAATGGACACGTGTCAGGTAGCAGCAGGCGATTTACAAAGGCTTTCACAGCCTCCTGTTTCTGTAATCCTTACAACTGTTGGGCAGAATAGGGCTCTTGACTCTCTTCCTAACCTGGGTCTCACATAATGTGCTATCTTGTGCTACACACGAATTTCTTTAGTCTTATCTCCTTAACCGGGCTGTGAGATCCCTGATGGCAGAAGCTTTGTGTATTTTTGCTAATAACATTCATTCAAAGTCTTTGGGCATTCACGAGCCTCCCTCCCCTACTCACACAAAAAGAGGCATTCTTAAATGAGGAGGAAGAAATTAACTTTTCCAGGTGAATGCCTGGCTTTAAATCGGCTCTTTCCTGGAATTCTATCTTTAAATGGTATATACGTGTATAATGTTGTATGGAAAACATATTTCATTATGACAGCAGAAAAATTAGAAGGGTTTGATGAAGGATAATGAGAGTGCAAATCCTTTAAAAAATATAACAGATATCTCATTTTTAAAAGTCTGCCATTCTACACTAACAGTATTTTTCATGCCAAATTTTCTCAATCTGAAGTTTGTTGTAATTATCGTATGTTGGTTACAAGTTCTCCTGTGAGGATTTTCTTATATTTAAATTTTAAGCATTTATTAAATTACAAAAATAATATATGCTGTGAGTCACAACAGGGGTTGCCTATGGGGAGAGGATTGATTGGAAGGAGACACAAGGGAACTTCATTGCCATGTGGCTCACCCGGGTGTAGACATTTGTAAAAACTCACTGAATTGTACACTTAGAGCTGTGTGTCCCACTGTATGTAATTTCATTTCAATAAAAAGAAATAATGTATGTTTAAAGAATCAAGCCTGGAAAACACAAAAACACGCAAAGAAAATATCCACACAGTATTCATGCAAGTTAAGATTTCTAAAGCTGGAGTTTTATTGTACTTAAAAAATTTCTTTCTGATGCAAAGACTACATGTTCCTTGTTTAAGAAATCAAGTAGCTTTTCCACTCAGCAATGTTTCACGTGACCTTTCCACATCCGTAGGTAGAAAACCATAGCATTATTTTTAGTGGATAACATAATTTATTTAACCAACTGCCTCAAGTTTATTGCTATTTTAAACAATGTTTTGATAAAAATCCATGTATGTATCTTTAAATATTTTCCTAGATATTTTTTAGGCTAATTCTTGGAAATGCTATGTCAAGTGACGTGAACCTTTGCAAAGATCATTGACGCATATTAACAAGAGCCTTTAGTTCATGCTGTCATTAGCAGATGCCTGGAGTGCCTCGCCCACAGAGAACATTGAACATTATAATCCTAGTCAATTTCCAAGCTGGTATTTCTTAGATTACTGGTGAAATAATCATTTTCCTCATCTACTGAATGGCTATTTGGGTTTTTCCCTTAGTAAATTGACATCTAACAACATCCTTAGACTCTATTATAATTTCCAATATTTTTAATATTTATTTGTAAGAACTCTTATACAGCAATGTGTCTCTTCATTTCCTTTCAGACACTGTAATTCCCCCACCTCCCCGCCCCAATTCGTCATTTGTCTAACTCTGTGAATGCTGGGTAGGTCAGCCACTGTTGGTTAGCTAACCCAGAGCCCACTGCCAATCCCATTCTCCACTGCCTGACTTTCTCTTCCGAGACTGCAAAGGGAAATCTTAGTTTTCCTACTTTTTCTTGTATCTCCGAGAGGCCTTATGATGTAGATCTAACAATTAAGATATAAGCAGAAGTCAAGGCTGGCGAGAGTTCTGAGAATGGTTTTGCTCCTTATAAAAAGTTATGGCTGGTGCTGTTCCCCTCCACTTATTCCTGTCTTGAATGTGGATTTAATGGCTGGAGCTGTGGCAGCCATCTTGCAATATGAGATGACAGTGGGAGCATGAAAGGCCCACACATAAGGGATGGTGGAGAGGAAAATGGAAAGAATTTGTGTCAGTGAGTTGCTGTACCAAACCTGTAACCACTTACCTCCCACTTTTTGTGATGTGAGATAATGAAATATCTTTACTACTTAAACCACTGGTTGTCCAGTAGCTCACTTGCAGCCAAAAGTGAGTTTGTTTTTGTTTCATTGTTATATTTAGGGTGGAAGGAGAAATGATTGGCATACATGAATTTGAGAATTTTATGTAACTAATCTGTTAATCTTGTCTCTGTGGTTTATGACACAGAAAGTACTGTTGTAGTTTATCAGTTTTACATCTAATTTATTAATCCATCTGGGATTTATTTTTGTATATGAAGAAAGAATCTAATTTTATTTTTCCCCAATGGGTTAATTGGTGGTTTCCACCCTATTTAGCTGTTGTCTTCTTTATATGTTAAATTCTATGTTTAGTCTGTATTTAGGTCTGATTTTGGATACCACTCCATTTTAAGACCATGTGCCTTTCAAATAAACCAAAAAACTAAAAACTAAAACACTAAGCTGTGTGATTGCATTTCATTTTCAAGACAAACTTTACAAATTACAAGTTAAGTTTCCCCAACTCCCTCTTCTCATTAAGAATGAAACAAGAATAAAAAACAAAACTTTCAACACATTGGGATTTTGATTGGAATTATATTAAATTTGTAGATTAACTGTAGAGAATTTTATATTTCCAATGTGTTTCTAAGAATATTTATCACTCAATTTATTTGTCTTTAAAAAAATCTCTCAGTAAAATCCTGCTGTTTCCTTCACAAAGATTCTTATTTTTCTGTTTAAATTTACTCCCATAATTTATACTTTGGTTGATATTTTGAGTGCATTTTTCCTTGTTTATTTTATAACTGATTATTGTCAGTCTACAGGACAAGTATTGAAGTCATTTATTTACACATTGCAACAGTGTCTAAGTTGATTTCCTTAGGTTAACCGGGAGACAGTCACATCATTTGAAAATAATGATGCATTTATTTTTTCTCTTCCACTGCTATCTTCTATTTCTTTTTCCTGTCTTGATGCATTAGTTAGGCTATCTAGGATGACACTTAATCCTAGCATTGGTAGTAAAAATCTTGTTTGCCCTTGATTTTACAGGGAATGAATGTTATTTCAGTAAGTTAAATGCTTATTAATTATTTCAAATAAATGTTGCATATTATATTAAATAAGTGCTATTATACTCCTAGATATTTACTAACAAAATTTTTTAATACTCTGCTAATTATCAGCTATGGAGGCTGAATTTCATCAAATCCAGATTGTAAATATTTATATTACTTTTTTCCTCATATCATCTCCTTTGAGAATAATTCTTAATTTTTGTATTTGGGTTAATTTAGCATATTTATATTTACAACCATGTTTAGGCTTACCTCTATTTTAACTAATTTCAGTGTTCATTGCAAATCTTTTTATATCTTCATTCTTGAGCTCTTAATTCTACCTCATTTCTTAGTTGGTTAAAATACATAATGGTTTGTTTTCCAAGCTCTTGTATGCATGCATAAGACTATCTATTATCTTCACATGTAGTAACAACTTGACTGGTTGTCAATTCATGCGTCAAAATTTTTCTTTCAGAACTCAGTTTTTCTTTTATTACATAGTATTTGTAGATTCTGAGTCTAGCCTGATTTTTCTCTGATAGGTTTGATTATAGCTTTTTCCAGCCAGAAAGACAAGAGGACTCTTTATTTTCCTTGTTAAATATTTTCCAGGATATACATGACCAGGTTTGGTCCATCCTACCATATGATGATATGATGATCTCTATTAATCTATATAAAAGATACAGGTGTTTTCTTCATCTTGGGAGATTCTCTCTCTCTCTCTCTCTCTCTCTCTCCTGTTTCATTTGTTCTGGTTTTTCCCTCCAGAATATATACATTGGCTCATTCAACATCCACTTTTCTCCATAAACATCATCTTATTCCATATATTTTCTTTCTTTGTTTTATTCTTTCTGTGTTCTAAGGAAACAACTCGAGTTTGACCACCACATTATTGATTTGATTTTTGGGAATATCACTTATGCTTCCTACTGCCTTACACACAGATTTTACTTCTGCTTTTGTGGGTTTGGCCTCCTGGTCATCCTTCCTAAATTGCATCCTCTCCTTCCTCCCTTCCTCTGGAGTTCCCTCCCACTGCCCTTCATCCCAGCCTGTGCCCTCCTCACACAGTTCTGCTAGCTTTCGCACAGGGAATGCCTTCTCATGTTTAAGTTTGGATTTGCTTTGTTTTAATCCTTCCCCTTACTTTATCACTTAAAACACTGTGAGACAATTTCTAGCTACAGAAAGACTGACACACAATAATGTCAGGGGCATAAGATGCTCATTAATTGTGAGCTTTAGCTTTTCGTGGTAGAGATTCTGATGTTATTTTCCTCTAGCATTTATACAAACTTAGTAGTTCTTTAAGGTTGCAGAATCTCAAAACAATGAACTGTATCAGAGATAAAGATATGTAGAGCCAGAAAGATATGATGAAATGATGAAATAATAAAGCCAGAAGTACTTGGAGGTTATAATTGAGCTAAACACATTTTTTACTCAGTAATATATATTAGCAAATTACCCTATGATTTATATCAGTGGAAAGTTTCTCGCTCTTACTGTTGAAATTTTTGTTGTGAAAACCCTGAGAGCATTTAAAGTTGACGGAAACACCAGAAGCCACATTTTTGGAAAAAAATTAAATGTTAAATAAATTAGCTCTTGGATTTAAATATCATCATTTACATCATATTAATCTAATTTCTTGATTTTATAAAATGATACATTTTATACACATTAAGATACACATTAATCATACATTTTATATACATTAAGATACGTTTTTATCTTAATGTGTCATTTAAACTACAAGGTACCTTGCCCTTCTAAGTTGCAGAGGTTAGGGGATGTGGTGGGTAAAAATACCAAACAGGAAGCAAAAGAATGTGGACTCTTCTACTTCTGGCAGTTAATAGCTGTGCAACCTTGGATGTTATTCTCTCTCTCACTCCCCATCATAAAACTGGCGCTAATAAAGCTTAGCTGACCTATCCCACGGTTCGGTGAGAATTAAATGAAATGTCTGTGAAGGTTTTTATTAAGCTGGCAAGTTCCATGCTTATTTAAAAGATTATAATTCCACCACACTGCTTTTATTCCACTTTGAAAAGCCTTTAGCACACATTATTATTCAAAAAGTAGCAGTTGATATAGTATAGAATTTTGAATGTAATGCAAGAGAAATGCAACTGTCATGACAATTTAATTTAAGATTTGCAATCCTTATTCTTGTTTTGGAAGACAGCGGTAAGTGTAGACAGATATTTAATGTCATGAACCTCTAGATAAAGGAAGAAAGGTATGTATTAATTTAATTATTTCAATAATCATAGGCATTCCTCTTTTTACTTTTACTATTCACATATAATTATTTTTTGAAAACTTTTCATTATTTTCACCAAAGTAGTTCAATACAGAATAGTATAATATATCCCCATATGTCCATATGCTTTAAATTCTTAAATAATTAACTCGTGAACAATGTTGTTTCATTTTAACCGCCCCTAGGTACTCTACTCTTATACTAATTTGAAGCAAATCCTAGAGACCTTATCACTTAATCTGTAAATATTTCAGTATGTGTCACTAAAAGGATAAATTCTTTCCCTCCCCCAACATAATCACAATACCACAATCACATCTGTAAACAATCAAAGATAGTTTCTTAACAGGCCATCACATGTCCAGTCATATTTGAATTTCCAGTTGACTCATACATTTCATAATTTTATTTCCTTTTATGGTTTATTTGCTTCAGTCAAGATCTAAATGAAGCCCACGCCTGTGATTCGTTGTTATGTCTCAGGTCTTTTTCAATCTAAAGGTCCTTCTTGCATTTTATTTCTGGTGGAAGCCACATTGCTGTCCTGTAGCATCTCCCCTGACCAGAGTGCTGATGGCATCCCCATGGTGGCTTCCCATGTCCCTCTGTACTTCCTCTCTCTTGGTAGTTGTATCTAGAGGCCTGTTCAGAGTCAGGTCCTTTTTTCCAGCAGAGAATGAGGAGTGGGAAATATTTCACAGGTGGTGCTGTATTCTTCCATCAGGATATATAATATCTGGCGTGCGCTCTCTCTCTCTCTTTCTCTCTCTCTCATAGTAGCAATTGTTATTGCTCAATGCATCTATTCATTAGTCCACAAGGAGCTGCAAAATGGTTATTTTCTGTCACGCCTCCTTCATTTCTTAGCTAGAATGCTCCTGTAAAGAAAAACTTCCCCTCATTTGCTGTTTGGTTACCAGTAGTATAGTTTGCATAGGAAAGGTGAATAAATGGCTGTCTCTTTCCCCTTATTTACCCATTTTCAAAAAATAAGTTGGTCATCAGCATCCCCCAATAGTGACTAGTTAGATTTTTGGTGTGTGGTTTTTTTAAAAAAAAAAATCAATTATAAACTCACAGTTGTTTTGGTCCGTTGAAACTATTGTGTGCATAATGTTCGAATGGTCCCCATCTTTGGGGTGTTTGAGGCCATTGGGAGCCTCGTCAGGCTGGTGTGTGAGTCCTAGTGATCTTTGACAGTGTCCTGGGGGTCCAGTCTCACCTTTGACATTCTCTACCTCAGACCTAGAGTCACCCACTTCTCCAAGGCTCCCCATGGATTTTCATTTTATTGGTTTTGTGGGAAATAGTACTTCATAGCCATAATCTGGGTGTTGTTCTAAGACATTTCAGTGCACAGAACTAGGGAAAAGTATATATAAATTTACATCTATAATATTATAAAAGTATATATACTTTATATATATAATTATATATACAAAAAGTGTATATATATACACACACATATGTATCTCAAATACATGTATCATTTTCAAATTATTAATTAACAAACGTAAGGCAATTAACAAACCTAGGTAAGGCATAGATAATAAACGATTTTCAATTACGTAGTTATGTACTAAATCCTGTGGGGCTTTTGGAAGAACAAAAGCAATTACAATTCTGATGGTCTGACGCAGCAAACTTGTAGCATTGTCTTTGTAAATTTTTACAGATATTACACATATCTGTCTCTACAGGAACATCTCTAGTTTCAGAAGTCCCTGCCCTATTTGTTCCCCAGAAAAGAAGGGAATATAGACTTATGCTCTTTCTATCCATGTGTTGAAATTAAGTTGCTTTGCTTGTTTATTGTGAGAGCACAGAAAAGTAGATAAAAGCAAATGAGCTTCTGCTACTAAAAGGTTTTCCCATGCTAATGAAAAAGATGATGAAATGAAAAAGTAATGATTGTGGCTTTATTGAAAATAACATGGCCAGGCACTTGGATGTTAGCAGTTTTGTGTATGCAAATATATTTTTACTAACTAGTGTTGCTCCTTTAAATAGCCATTTTGCATTGTTGTTGATGAAGCAAAAGACTGGTGATGACCAGTTGTAATCTTTTCTGATGTTTCTAGAGGAGTATGGCACATCCCAACAGGGAAAAGTTCAGGCAACCAAGTTTTCATAGTTACACCACATATTTTACTAAATGAGCTTCCGGAAGAAACATGTACTTTGATTTGAACGACCACCTGGAAGCCACTCTCAAAGAATGTTGATGATCCCCCTCTAGCCTGGAAGGACAATGCATATACCACTTCTATTCATACCACCATACCATGTATTGTGGTTCCAAACTTTGATTTTTCCCTGACCTCAGAGGACTTTCTCTCTTCTACCAAAATGAGGATAACTGCAATGCTGGAAAGATTAATGCATTGTTTTCTCCTAGATGATTAAAAAGGCGTTGGTCAGTACATGAACTATGGTCAAAACATATTGTGTTTTAGAAAATATAATCAAGATAATATCTGTTTTAGTTCAGACTGCCATAACAAAGTATCATGGACTGGGTGGCTTCTAAACAACAGAAACCTATTTCTCATAGTTCTGGAAGATAGAAGTTGGAGATAAAGGAGCCAGCATGTTAGGGTTCTGATGAGGGCACTCTTCCAGGCTGCAGACAGCTGCCTTCTTCCTGTGTCCTCATGTGGCAGAAATAGTGTCCTTTAAGAAGGGCACTAATCTCATTCACAAGGGCCCCATCCTCATGACCTCATCACCTTCCAAAGGCCCCACCTCCTAATATCATCATCTTGGGGGTTAGAATTTCAACATATGGATTTTGGGGGACACAAACATTCAGTCCATTGCAATAATCAGTTATGATCAATAAAGTTATTAACAAGGTAAAGCTTACAATTATGCTTTTGATGAAATTATACCTCTTAGAGAAAACTGACAACTTAAGGTTGTGTTTATTATTGCATTTTGTTTCCTTGATTTTATTTCTCTTAGTAAAAAGTATAACATTCAAACTTGATAGTGCCATATACACACAATTTTTTCTCTAATTTTTCACTGGGATTCAAGATAATAAAGAACACACACTTGGCTGCTAGAAAGCTGCAGTTGGCTGGGCGTGGTGGTTCATGCCTGTAATCCCAGCCCTTTGGGAGGCTGAGGCAGGCGGATCACTTGAGGTCAGGAGTTTGAGACTAAGCCCCCAACGTGATGAAACCCTGTCTCTACTAAAAATATAAAAATTAGCCAGGCGTGGTGGTATACACCTCTAATCCCAGCTACTTGGGAGGCTGAGGCAGGAGAATTGCTTAAACCCAGGAGGTGGAGGATGCAGTGAGCCGAGATTGTGCCACTGCACCCCAGCCTGGGTGACAGAGCGAGACTCCATGTCAAAAAATAAAAATAAAAAACTGCAGTTACCTGAAAATCTCCTTTTTTCACTTTAATGATTTTTCTTTTCAAAAGTCTGTGTGTCCCGGTGAGAGTCACTGGTTTTAGGTAAATTAATGGTCAACTAAATATTTGCAACAAAAACATACCTTTTATTTCAGCTGAGAAATGGGAAGCGTGGCCTACAGTGTTAGCCGTGGGGCCCTGGGGCAAGTTGCTTCGCTTCTCCCTCAGGTCCAGGATTCATATCTGCGGAAGATGGGCTGGGCCAGGTGGCCAGGAGATCCCATGGGTCTGTGTGCTACAGGGCCTATGTGTTTCCAAAATATGGTCCTTTGTTTTTAAAAAAGCCAGGTGTGGTGGCTCGTGCCTGTAGTCCCAGCTACTTAGGAGGCTGAGGTGGGATAAGGCTGAGGTGGGATAACTGCTTGAGCTCAGAAGTTTGAGTCCAGCCTGGGTAACATAGTAAGACTCCATCTCAAAAAAATAAAATAAAATAAGTAAAAAGGGGCTGCCTGGTTACCTAACTATGGGAGTGCCTCCCACTGCATCTCCCATTTTGGAAGTTCCCAATGCATGCTCTCATCTTAAGTCTCTGAGAAGGACTACCTAAAAGAAACATAGTTAACCTTATTTAATCCAGAGTTTCCCAAACTTGTTAGATTCTGGACTCTTTTCTCCAGGTAATATCGTTGAACACCCCACAAAACTAGTGTTCTGCAGCAGTATGCTTTGGGGACACTACCTTACAGCATTGGGTATACAGTAGGCACCCCGCGAACATGTATTTATGGGCTTTGGTCTCATGCCCATGTAGAGCACTAGAACTCTTGGACTCCTCTGCTACTAAATCTACCAATGCACCTGTTTTCCAGTTAGGCCCCCGAGTCTAAAGAGGGACAGAAGATATTACTACCCACCAAGCTGGAGGATGGGGCGAGGGAAAGCCACAGTGGATCCACACTCCAGGCAAGAGAGTGCCGGTGGGAAAGGGAGATCCTAGGCTGCGGCAAGGTGGGCGTGCTCAGCATGATAGCAAGAGGCCGGCGCTAGGGGCCCACCATGGGGTCATCTCCCCACACAACACCCCCGCAAATATCTGTAGGGTTCACACACAGGTAAGTTTTATAGTCACATGTTGTTGAAATTTAGGCCAAGAAAGGCATCAGTCCTGCAGATGAGAAAAGAGATTCCACCTGGGCCTTGTTTTCCTAGAAATGAGGATGAGAACCATCCCACGGGGTGGATTTAGAGGACACAGAACAAGAAGGAGCATAACCAGTCCTGTGGTTCAAGCCTGCGTTTTGCAGATGGAGCCCTTGAAGCTGCATGGTTAAGTGGTGAAGCAGCTCTTCTGGTCAATGAACGCCAAGTCTGAAACACGGGCTCGGGCTTCTGACTCCATGTCAGGGCGTTTCCACGGCCGGCTCCACAGGAGGCTGCGTGACAGGGGAAAGGGAGACAGGCGGTGACCCACAGGCAGTCCAGTGTCGCTTCTTTGGCTTCTTTTTCTTCTTCATATTTCCATAGTCTTAGATGGTTACTCATTTTATTTTTAATCTACTCATACTTTATTCTTTGAAGGCATTCTTTAGTGAACCGATATTTTTTAATGCCCAGAAGTGGAAAAAAATTAATTTTTCTATTGTTCCCCACCCAGGCTTAAGTCCAAGACTATTAATTTAAATCACTGGCTTCTACAGGTAATGTACAAGGATAATTCTTTACAGATATTTACAGGAAAACATCCGCTCATTCAATGAATGTGTGCCAGGCACTGTTCTAGCCTCTGGGATTCATTATGAATAAAACAACAAAATCTCTCATCTTTGTGAAATGAACGCTCTAGTACAAAATGATGGCTGTAAACAATACGTATAACAAAGAAGTAAATCATCTTGTATGTTAGAACTGGGCTTTCCAGACCTTAGTGTACCTGAAGACCAGCTGGGAACCTTGGTAAAATGCAGATCCCGGCTCAGCAGGTCTGCGGTGACCGAGGCTGTGCAGCTCTGACCAGCTCCTGGTGATGCTATCTTGTCTGTCTGTGGTTCTCTCCCCACATTTTCAATAACAAAAACTTGGAAGTTGTCTGTAATAGGTAAGGGAGATTGCAAGGGAGAAGAAGAGCAAAGATTTGGGGGAGACGTGCTACAAGGGTATCCTGGAATGGGGTCCAAAGCTTCCAGGCTGAAAGCACTGCTGGGGCAAAGACTCTGAGGGGAGGGCATGACTGATGTGTTGGAGAAATGGCCAGGAGGCCAGTGTGGTGGCAGTGGTGTGAGCGACGGGGGAGCAGGGGGTGAGAGGACAGCAGTAAGGAGCAGTACTAGGAAACCACATGGGGTAGGGATGTGCAGCCCACAGCCAAAGCTTTGGTTTTACTCTGAAGGAAGTGGGAAGGCATGAACAATGTGGGCAATCCACACAAAGATGTGTACGTGGTTGTTCGTAGCAGCATCAACCATGAGAGCCAAGACCTTGAAACAATCTGGTTATCAGCTAGTGCACAGATAACAAAATGTGACCTGTCCACACACTGGCATACTATTCAGCAATAAACAAGGAACAAACTAAGCTGGGTGCAGTGGGTCACGCCTGTAATCCCAGAACTTTCGGAGGCCAAGGTGGGTGGATCACCTGAGGTCAGGAGTTCAAGACCAGCCTGGCCAACATGGGGAAACCCTGTCTCTACTAAAAATACAGAAAATTAGCCAGGCGTGGTGGCACATGCCTGTAATCCCAGCTAGTCGGGCGGCTGAGGCAGGAGAATCTCTTGAATCTGGGAGGTGGAGGTTGCAGTGAGCTGCGATCACGCCATTGCACTCCAGCCTGGGCAACACGAGTGAAACTCCATCTCAAAAAATAAAAATAAATAAAGGAACAAACTGCTAATCCATACTACAACATGGATGGATCTCAAAAATGTTATGCCATATGGAAGTAGCCAGATGCAAAAAAACTACAGATTGCATGAGTCCATCTCTCTGAAATGTCCAGAAAAGGCAAATTTAGACAGAAAATAGATTCGTGGCTGCCTAGAGCTTGGAGGTATTAGTAGTAGCAGGGATTAATTGCAAAGTGGAACAAGGGAACATTTTGGGATGGTGGATATGTTTTAAAACTGGATTGTGGTGATGGTTGCATAGGTCTATAAATTTACTAAAAATAACAAAATTATACACTTACAAGGGGTGAATTTTATGACATATAAGTTGTATCTTTTTTATTTTTTATTTTTTTAAGTTGTATCTTAATAAAGCTGTTTTTAAAAAAAGTTTTAAAAATGATGTGAGCTGAGGAATGACGTGCCCAACTTCCACCTTACCAATACCCCTTTGACTGGTTGTTAAAAACAGACTGCTTTGGGCAAGGGTGGAAGAAAATCCAGTTAGAAGGGCAACTTCTGCATGGCTGGGATTGTCTTTCTTTTGCCATTATTTTTGCATAATAATTTATGTAGGTATAGAATTGTGGGTTTAGAGTTACTTTCTCTTGAGTACTTTAAATATTTTTTTCATTAACTTCTAGCATCTGTTGTTTCTAATGAGAAAACTGAATGAGACAGTTTGAAATGTATTTGCCAGAAGAAAATTACTACTGTCTACTGGCTTGGTGTTTCCAATTAATAAGTAGATATTAATGTGACTCAGCAAATTGCTGTATGTCAGGAGGTTTCCTTCTTTATTGTACATAAAGATCATTAACGTACATATTTTAACATTTTGTATGAAACTTTCAACTTTTCTGACCATTTTTAATTGTATTTTTTTAATTCTTTTCATTTTAAGTCCTTTGAGATAGATAGCATTTGTTTCATCATTTTCTTTTAAACCATGAGGAAATTAACTGACTCATCGGAGATTGTTTATCCAGTTAGTGTTCATCCAGTTAGTGGCAGAGCCAACACAAATGATCAGGTCTTGTAGCTCCTGTCTGTACCATCTTTCCCGAAGACTCAGGTTATACAAGATCAGGCCTTGTCCTACGTGCTTCAGTGTTCTTCCTTTGATGCTGACACCAACAAAAAGTGTTGTGTAAGACCAGCACTCTGCTTCCTGCCATGAGTTGTGATTATGATTTCATCACAAAATATTTGACCTCCCCATTCATCATCTTGGATTAAGTCACTTCATGTTTCGTAATTCTCTTTTGTCATCTAAGACATAACAATATGAGTAACCTACCTATTCTGTGAACTACAGAGTCGTTGTAAGTGCAAAGGAGTTGGTAGTCATCTGACCAGCATGTGTAGACTATTCCTTCACATTCCCTCACCCCCACACATAGGTAATCGCAGTTTCTGAGGGTCAATCTCACACTTGCTCCTGCAATTTTGCTGTGTACCACTGCCCCCAAAGCTGCCCCGCCATGTGCAACAGACCCTCCCAGGGCTCTGTTGGGTACCAGTAAGGCACCTCTTCCAGAGCCCACTAACGCAGTGGGGGCCCCGGGGTTTTACCAACTGGTCCACTTGGCCCTATTATTTCTCTTCATTCTTTGTGAGCCATGTGGCTCCTCACTGGTGGCTGCTGCTAATATTTTAGACCCACCATTTGTGTCCTACACCTTCGAAACTGCAGGAAAGTCTCCGGGGGAGTGGGGGCAACGGGCTCTCCCCCCCGCACCCCATTAATCGTATCTTGCTGGAAGGGGCTGCAAAGCGGTGCTTAGGGAAACCTCTATTTCCACCGATAACCCTTTCCCTCAAAAATACATACTCCTTATTTTGCTGATGATGAAAACCAAGTTTCAGGTTGTTGAAGAGATTTGCCTTAGATTTCCTCTTGAGAAGACAGTAGACGGGAAATAAATCCAGCCGGAAACCCATTCAACTAACCAACACTGCCTCTTTGCATGTTTGTGCATGTAGGTAAATACATCCGTAGATTTATTTAAAGCATGTGTAAAAGCTAAGGCATATTACCTGTAGCGGTTGGTATTCTTGTAACACATTATAACACAAGGCAGCCAGAATTATTTTAATGCCATTTAATTCAAAACAAAATTGTTTAATAGGTGATTCAGTTTTATTAGGCTGATTAGCAATAATTTGCAAAAACTGTTTAAACAAGTCATGGAAAATAAAATGAAAATTTAATTAGCACCAGTGTCAAGGGTAAAAAAGCAATTAATATTAAACACTAATGTGAAGATACTGTTCTTTTGTTTTTAATTATTCAATACCACACTGAGCAGATTTTGATTATTTTTTCTTTCTGAGAAAATAAAAGGCTTTTAAAATTATACTTAATATTAGCTGTACTAACTATAAATGGTGAAACCAAAAGACTTATTTTTATTGTCAGGAAATCTAATAGTACTACTAAGAGGTCACGTAGCAATTTTAAATTTTTAAAATATTTGGCAACAGAAATCACCTGAAACTTAAAATAACCGTATGCCTTTCAGAGCTCTTTGACTTTGGAGTTTAACAAAGGGATAATCGAAACAAACCATTAATTTTCCAGAGTGGTGAAGGACAGTTATGTTGGAACATGGGCTTTTCAAGCTCGGGTGTTTTCTCGCATGGTGTTATTAGCAGAATTTAAAGAGAAGGTGCAGCCTACAGATTAAAGAACAGGCTCAAGAGACCTGATGCTTCCTTTCTCACATGTGGAACCTTTGTTGCACTCGCTGAACAGGTTTCTCAATGTGCAGCCCACAGACCATTAAAACCAGAACCTTCTAGACAGGTTGAGAATTCAGATTCTTGACCTATAGAGCGACTGAAGGGCCAGGGAATATTCATTTTAAAAGCCACTTACGGTGCTTCTCATCCATTCTGGAGTGTAAGAACCCCAGTCACAGAGGCATACTTGCTCAAAATGTCACAGGAAACCCATAGTGAGATGTAGCAACAGCTGGAGGAGGCAGAGTCATGGTTTTAGGCAGACATTGCAGAACACCTGATGTATATTCTGGATTGATCCAATGCTCAGTCTTGGGTGTGGGTACAGTTCAGCAATCTGCAGTATTAGGTAATTGCTTTTAAAGATTTCTCTGCAGTGCAATTTCTCCATCTGGAAACAAAAGCCATGCACATAAGTATCACAATTCAGACCCTGAGGCCCTCAGATAAAACACACCATGCAGTCACTGAGGACTGTGCTATCATCACACGCACCAAACCTAGAGAAAACCTCCAACAGACTCGCTCACTCACCAAATGGCCCGGTCAACAAATTTGGGTGGATAGGCCCTGTGGAGGTTCAGGAAGATTCAGCAGTAAGACATTTTTCTTCTCCTCTTTTTTTCCCCCTTATACTAACTGAAAAACTACTTAATTAAATCCGACTTAGTATTCACTAAGAGCTTAGCACTTAATTCAAATGCTTCATTTATCTTAGGAAGCAATAGCCAATAATAATAATAATGACAGCTCACATTGCTTGCATACTGGACACTGTGCGAAGTATTTTACTTACATCGTCTGTATCATCTTCACAACCCCATGGGGAAGGTGTCCTAATTAACTATATTTTGCAGATAAGGAAATGGAGGCTTGAGAAGTTACATATCACGGTCACAGATTTTGTAAGACGCAGAACCACGGCTGGACCCCACGCCTGTCTGACCTCACAGCTTACCCTCATTGTACTGCCTTTGACACAACTAAGAATGAAGTGGCTTGCCAGGTGCTGTGGGATTCCATTTGTAAAAATATGTTTTCATTTAACACATGTTTACAGAGAATCTGCTATGTGCATGTGGGGCAAAGCCCAATAAATAAATTCGGTTATTGAACCGAATGGGACTGAATTACAGTTCAAAAATCCAGAAATCCGTCGAACATGAAGCCCTGTCCTTCAGGCACAGCCCGGCCACAAGCCAGGATAGAAAGAGGAACTATAACTGTACTTAAGTGACTGTCCTCCAAGGCTGAAACATGCCACAGAAATTTGACAAATCGATAAGCTATGAAGGTCTGGTAGAGTGAGAAGGTAAGTCTGACCCTCGAACTGTGCTTGACACTATGACAAATACAAGATGATCTGTTGGAAACATTGGCATAAACTACTTAAATATCTAACCGTAGAGGATAATTAGATACCTTGCTGTTATGAATCCATAACTGTATATTCGCCAACTATGAAAAATAATGCTACATCGGAAAACAAGGTCTATTGGTGTGGAAAGATGTATATCCTGTGAGAGTGAGAAACAAAAAACAGACAAAGTGAAAAATCAGGTGACAATAGAGGATGTACACAATGTATACATTATCTTAATTTTGGAAAATCACAGATATAGATAAAGGCACATATGTCATGCATATATGTATATATGTGCATAAAAGACGAGGTTCATATGTGTTTGCAGGCATATGAAAGGCACATATTATGTGCATGTGTTTGTGTGACTATGAAAGGCACATGTGGTATGCATATGTGTTTGTGTGTATATGAAAAACACACATAATGTATGCATACACTTGTATCATAAGAGATATATCTGCATACATATATGTGTGTACGCATGCGGAAGACAATGTATATATTTTTATATAGGACACGTATGATGTGCATATATATGTTTGCATGCTCATGAAGACAAATGATTTACTCATACATTTGTGTGGCATATGGAGCACACATATAATGTGCAGGTATGTTTATATGCATATATCATTTCTGGGTGATTGGAATTGTAGCTGTTTGATATGGTTCATTTGCTTGTCTATATTTTCTGATGTTACTGTAATGTGCATGTAATTTCTTTTGCACCAAGAAGTAAACATATACAAAACTTCATTTGCAGAAGCACCCCAAATTTAATGGGCTCAATACCTTCCATGGTTGGGGACATGAATTTGGTTTTAAAAGAGAATTAGGCAAGCCATTACTGTGCAATGGCTAAAACATTGAAGAGCAGGGACATAGGAATTTTTTTTTAATTGAATCTTCTTCTGAAAAAAAAAATTGATTTATTGTGAATAAATGGACGTATTTGTTTAGGGGATGTTGGATTTAAAAGTTTAGGAGAACTTTAAGTATGGCATTAGAAAGAGGGTTTTTGGCTACCCAAACACTTCATCCATTTTCACAGAGGCCTTTTATAAGGGTCTGAGATGACAAGGAAGTTCCCATCCTCAAGGTGGGGAGAGGGCACTCATAGATGGAATGTTATTGTCTGCATGATGTCGAGTTTCTGTTTTAATTCAGCTGTTCAGCATTCCACGTGTCTGGTTAATTTTAGCTCTTATCTTTGCCAGGATTTTATGTCTGTCTCTCGAAGAAAGTTGCCTAAATTTAATAAAACTTGCTTTATTGCCAAATGATACCCATGTGCGTCTTAAAGTCAGTTGAGGTGAATCTTAAAACAATTGGCTGGCTGATCCCAGCGTTCAAAGGCATCTACCTTTTATCATTTTTAATAGAGTTCAATGCCACTTACATGCAGGGGCTATAAATATGAATAATTTCACTGAGCGAGATTTACAGTTTCCAGGAAAGATGACTAAACATAATTAGGAAAAAAAAGAGAAGGAGAACGCCTGATGGAGAGCAGTGGTAAGACTGCCTGTTCCCTTTTCATTTTCTTGTGCTCTTTGATAAGGATGTCCTGGTGGACACATTTCTCCTATTGTGGCTATACGCCAGTGTCCCATGGCCTGTGAGATGCTATAATGGCTCCGAGGCTCAGGAGCTTCCTGAATGCAACCATGCCCAAAACAGCATCTGTGATGTAGAATTTACAGGTCTTAGACAGAGAAATAGTTACACAGTAAAATTGAATCTCTGGAATAGCAAGGTGTTTAATAGCAAGATTGTACTGCATTTTCTTACATTTTCTGGTTGCCAGACAAATGGGAGAATCCCAAAAATAGGGCACCCTAACATCACCTACACCTTGAAGCTGAGCATTGGAGAGATTTGCTTTCTCGATAAAAGGAACATATCCCCAAATGTAACAATGACCTCTTACAGCAACCACTTTCCCAGAAATTGTCCTTACCTCCAGGAGCCAGGAATGGAGAAAGAAAAGCTCCTGGGGGCAGAGCATCAGTGGCAGATCAATCACTTATCTTGTCTTCTTCTGAGGCAGAGGCTACCCTGGAGCAGCTACACAGCGTAATTGAACCTCTGGTTCAACTGAACTGACAACTGTATAGGACTTGAGCTTTCTATTGAGCTGAGCATTGCCTGGGAAGGAAGGTAAGGTAAAGAGCATGGGATGGAGCCAGCTACAGTTTCCAGGGCCCAACTAGGGAGAGCTTTCAATCCCCATGGAGACTTGAGGGAGAAAAGACAGAAGTCAAGCCAAGTCAACATAAACCATGAACTTAGTACACAAAGGCTAGTGGGATGGGATATTAATGGTTTCTATGACAAATAAAGGCGGTCCTTTACAGCTCTTGGTAACTATACAAAAAGCTACAATTTCTTGAGTGTTTGACCCTGTGTGAGGCACTGTGCTAAACACACTAAACATATCACCCTATGGGAAAGTCGTTATTATCCTCATTTTGAGATGAGTACACTGGGGCTCAGAGAAGCCACCTAAGTTGCTCTGGGTCACCCAATTGGCAAATGGTAAAGCCGGGATTCACCTCTGTCTGTCTGACTTAAAAGTTCATGTTTGTAAACATGCTGTTGTAAGAAGACTTGAACATTTTATTATTGATACATAATATTTGTACATATTTTATAGGCACATGATATTTTGATACGTAGAATGGATAAGGATCAATTTGGGGTATTTAGGGTATCCATCACCTCAAGTATTTATAATTTCTATATATTGGGAATATTTCAATTCCTCTTTTCTAGCTATTTTGGAATAGACAAAACATTGTTGTTAACTATAGTCACCCTACTCTGCCATTGATTGTTAGATCTTATTCCTTCGATCTAACTGTATGTTTGTACCCATTAACCAACGTCTCTCCATTCCCCTTTCATTCCTACCAATACGATGCTTTTTTGGTTACTTTAGCCTTACAATATATTTTAAAAGTTGAGAGTGTGATGTTTCCAGCTTTGTTCTTTTTGCTCAGGATTTTGCTTTGGCTATTTAAACTGTCTTTGGTTCCATGCAAATTTTAGGATTTTTTTTTCTATTTCTATAAAAAATGACATTGGTATTTTGATGGGGATTGAATTAAATCTGCAGATTGCTTTGGGTAGTATGGTAATTTTAACAATATTAATTCTTTCAATCCATGAACATGGGATGTTTTCCATTTGTTAGTTTCTTCTTCAATTTTTTTCTTCAGTGTTTTGTAGTTTTCCTTACAGAGGTCTTTCACCTCCTTTGTTGAATTTATTCTTAGGTATTTGTGTGTGTGTGTGTGACGATTGCAAATGGGATTGCTTTCTTGATTTCTTTCTCAGATTGTTCATTATTGGTATATAGAAATGCTACTGATTTTTGTATGTTGATTTTGTATCCTGCACCTTCTCTGAATTTATTTATCAGATCTAAGGGTTTTTTGTTTGTTTTTTTTTTTCCTTTTTTGGGCAGAGCCTTTAGGTTTTTCTAGATATAAAATCATGTCTTCCGCAAAGAGGAAAAATTTGACTTCCTCTTTTCCAGTTCGGACACCTTTTATTTCTTTCTCTTGCCTGATTGCTTTGCCTAGAACTTCCAGTACTATGTTGAACAAGAGTGGTGAAAGTGGGCATTTTTGTCTTGTTCCGGTTCTTAGAGGAAAGGCTTTCAGATTTTCCCCACTCAGTATGATGTTAGCTATGAGTTTGTCACATATACCCTTTATTATTTTGAGGTATGTTCCTTCAATGCCTAGTTTGTTGGGAGTTTTGATCATGAAGGGATGTTGAATTTTATCAAATGCTTTTTCTGCAACTGTTGAAATGATCATATGGTTTTTGTCCTTTATTCTGTTGATATGATGTATTACATTTATTGATTTACATATGTTAAACCATCTTTGCATCCCTGAGATAAACCATCTTTGCATCCCTTGGTATTTTAATAGGGATTGCATTAAATCTGTAGATTGCTTTGGGTAGTATGGTCACTTGATCATGGTGTATTATCTTTTTGATGTGCTGTTGGATTTGGTTTGCTAGTATTTTTTTGGAGGATTTTTGTATCTATGTTCATCAAGGATATTGGCCTGTAGTTTTTGTTTTTGGTTGCATTCTTGTCTGGTTTTGGTATCAGTAATGCTGGCCTTTTAGAATGAGTTAAGGAGAATTCCCTCCTCTTTAACTTTTTGAGATGTTTGAGAATTGGTTTTATTTGTTCTTTGTAAGTTTGCTAGAATTTGGCAGTGAACCATCTGGTCATGGACTTTTCTTTGTTAGGAGACCTTTTATTACTGATTCAATCTCATTTCTCATTATTGATCTATTCGGGTTCTCTATTTTTTCCTGATTCAATCTTGGTGGGTTGTATGTATCTAGGAATTTATTCACTTCTTCTAGGTTTTCTAGTTTATTAGCATACAGTTATAATAGTCGCTGATGATCTTTTGTATTTCTGTGTTATCAGTTGTAATTTTTTCTTTTTTTGTTTCTGATTTTGTTTATTTGGGTCTTTTTTTTTTGTTAGTCTAGCTAGTATAACTTTTTGTTTCATTGATCCTTTATATTTTTAAAGTCTATTTTGTTTAGTTCTGCTCTGAACTTTATTATTTCTTTCCTTCTACTAATTGTGGGTATGATTTGTTCTTGCTTTTCTAATTCATTGCGGGGCACTATTAGATTGTTTATTTGAAATCTTTTTACTTTTTTGATGTAGGTGTTTATTGTTATAAAATTCCCTCATAGCACTGCTTTTTCTGTAATCCATAGGTTTTGGTATGTTGTGTGGTTTTTTTATTATTAATATTTTGTTTTTAGAGAGAGGATCTCACTTTATCATCCAAGTTAGAGTGCAGTTTTGTGATCATAGCTCACTGCAGCCTCCAACTCCTGGGCTCAAGTGATCCTCCAATCTCAGCCTCCCAAATAGCTGGGACCACACAGGCACCCACCACACCTGGCCAATTTAGAAACTTTTATTTTTAAGAGACAGGACCTTGCTATGTTGCTCAGACTGGTCTCAAACTCCTGGCTTCATGCAACCCTCCCCACCTCAGCCTCTTGAGTAGCTAGAATCATGCACATGAGCCAAGCTACCATGCCTGTCTTGGTATGTTGTATTTTGACTCTCATTTGTTTCAAAAAATTTTTCAACTTCCTCCTTAATTTCTTCTTTGACCCAATGGTCATTCAGAAGAATGCTGTTTAATTTCCTGTATTTGCAGTTTCCAAAGCTTCTCTTTTTATTGATTTCTAGTTTTATTCCATTGTGATCCAAAAAGATATTTGATATAATTTTGATTCCATGTGCTGATGAGAGGAATGTGTATTCTGTAGCTGTTGAATGAAATGTTCTGTAAATGTCTGTTAGGTCAATTTTGCCTAAGATATTCTAAATTCAATGTTTCTTTGTGAATTTTCTGTCTAGATGATCTGTCTAATGCTGAGAATGGGGTATTGAAGTCCCTAACTATTATTGTATTAGAGTCCATCTCTCCCGTTAGATCTAATAATATTTGCTTTATATATCTGGGTGCTCCAATTATGGATGCATATATATTTAGATATGTTATATCCTTTTGCTGAATTGATCTATTTATCATTATATAATGAACCTTTTGGGTCACTTTTTATTGTTTTTGACTTAAAGTCTGTTTTATCTGATATAAGTATAGTTACTCCTGCTTGCTTTTGGCTTTCATTTGCATAGAGTAACTTTTTCCATCTTTTTACTTTCCGTCTATATGTGTCTTTATAGGTGAGGTCAGTTTCTTTTAGAAAGCATATAATTGGGTCATTTTAAAAAACCCATTCAGCCAGTCTATATCTTTTAAGTGGAAACCTTAGGCTGTTTACATTCAAGGTTACTGTTGATATGTGAGGACTTATACCTGTTAATTAATTGATCATTTCCTGGTTGTTTGTATATCCTTTGTTCCTTTATTTCTGCCTTATTATTTATCATTGTGATTTGATGGTTTTCTCTCGTGGTAACATTAGGGTCCTTCTTTTCCTTAGTTCTGTGTTCATTCTACCCAATGGGTTTTATTTATACTTTTATGTCTTTTCATGATGGTAGATATTATCTTTTCATTTCCAGGTATAGGACGACCTTAAGCATTTCTTATAGACCCAGTCTAATGATGATGAATTTTCTCAGCTTTTGCTTGTCTGGGGAGGACTTTATTTTTCCTTCATTTATGAAGGATAACTTTACTGGGTATAGTATCCTTGGCTGGCAGTTTTTTTCTTTCAGCACTTTAAATGTATCGGCCCATTCTCTCTTGGTCTGTAAGGTTTCTGAGGAGAAATCCGCTGTTAGTCTGATGAAGTTTTCTTATAAGTGACATTTTTCTCTTGTGGGTTTTAGAATTCTGTCTTTGACTTTTGACAGTTTGACTATAATGAAGAAGATCTTTTTGAATTAAATCTCTTTGGAAATCTCTGAGCTTCCTGCCTCTGTGTGTCTAGATCTTTTGCTAGACTTGGGAAGTTTTAACCTATTGTTTCATTAAATAGGTTTTCTATCCCTTCAGTTTTCTCTTTGCCTTCTGGAATATCAAAACTTAAAATATTTGGTTGCTTTATGGTGTCCCATATATCTTGGAGGCTTTGTTCATTCTCTTTTATTTTTTTCTTTATTTTTGTCTGACTGGGTTATTTCAAAAACCTGACTTCAAATTCTGAGATTCTTTCTTCTGCTTGATCTAGTTCCTTGTTCAAGCTCTTGAATGTATTTTTTATTTCATTCAATGAATTATTAGGTTCCAAGATTTCTGTTTAGTTCTTTTTAATTATATCTATTTCTTTTTAGGGAAATTCTTATTCATATCCTGAATTGTTTCTCTGATTTCTTTGTATTGTTTAATCTGTATTCTTTTGCATCTCACTGAGTTTCTTTAATATCACTATTTTGAATTTTTTCTCTGGCATTTCATTTTTTTTCCATTGGCATCTGTTGTTGAAGAATTATTGTGTTCCTCTGGAGGTGTCATATTTCCTTGCTTTTAATGTTTCTTGTGTCCTTATGTTGATTATCTGTGCATCTGGTGTAACAGTTGCTTCTTCTGATTTTTTGGATTTACTTTCACAGGGAAGGACATTTTTTCTGAAGATATAGCTATGGTGTTGATTGGGTAGGGCACTCTGGCCTTGATTCTAGATGCATGCAGTAGTGTAGTCTCTGTATGAGTTCTTCAGTTGTAAACAGTGTCAGTGGTGTCTGTGATTTCCTTAGTGGCTTAGAGTGTGGCTGTTAATGGAGGCTGTGGGGAAGTTTTGCTGGGGACAGGGGCAACAGGTGGGCCAGTCCTCAGGCTCTAGTGGTGGCAGCAGTGGGCCAAGAGCATGCCTGTTCTTGGGCCCCAGAGCAGTTTATGCTGGTCCTGGGGTTAGTGATTCCAGGCAGGCTGATTCTTGGGCCTCCAGGAGGCTTGCTCAGGTGCTGGAAGGGGCAGTGGTAGTCCAGTTGGGGAGGGGCTCAGGTTCCTAGGCAGCAGGCATGGCAGGGGCAATGACGGCAGCAGCAGCCAGATCATCCTCTAGCTTCCATCCTATCCATGCTGGTGTTGGTGGTGGCTGCAATGGCCTGGGTGGGCTAGTCCCCAGGTGACATGTGTGTGTGGGTGTGACAGCTGTGGGGGTAGTGGCAGGTTGGGTGAGCCCATCCTCAGGCCCTTAGGAGGAGTTTCAGGTGCCAATGATGGTGGATGGAGCAGAGCAATTCATATGCCCCCACACAGCACACTTGGGCCCTGGGAGGTGAGAGTTGGGCTGGGTGGACCTGTCCTCAGGATCCCTGGTGGTGCATGCGTATGCTGGCTGTGGTGAGTAGGGGTGGGCTGATCCCTGGGCCCTGGAAAAATGCTCAGGTACAGGGGCAGCAGCAGCCACACTGCAGCTCTGCTGCTGGGGAGAGTGGGGTTGCTTTCAATAGTAGCAGTCGTAGGCAGATGGCTGGGAAGTGTGCACTTCGGTTCCAGGTGGCGGCTGTGGGTGGCAGAGCCTGACCTTAGGGTGCTTGTAAGTGCACAGTGGCCCCTTTGCTGGGGATGGTGGAGTCACTCCCAGTGGCTCATGCTTTAGTTCTGGTGGCAGCAAACAGCAGCAGCAGCAGCTGCGGATGGGGGATGTCACTGGGACTCCAGGGATGCGGAGATGCAGGGGTGGTTGGGACCCAGAACAGGATGTGGTCTGGTGGGGGCTGGGCTCTCAAAATGGCACTGTGCTGTAGCTGCTTAGGTCTGGGGGTGATGTAAGCCCCCTCTCTGGAGCAATGCTGTCATGCCATCTCAAGACAGCTCCCTGTTTTAGTCTCAGGGCTCATGAGAGTCAAGAATCTCTCCCATGGCTGGAATTGCAGATGTCCATGGTGGGAATGTGGACTGCTGAGGGTCACCCACTTACCCTTTCTGTGCACTAGGAGGCCTCTCTGGGCTCCCAGCCAAGTAGGCTGCCTTGCCTCCCTCTCCTTCCTTGCCTTAGGTGTTTCCTGTCACTTCTCTATGGAATTCCAGCATTCTCTCTCAGATGATCTATCCAAAGTGTGATTATCAACTTACTATTTTGGTTTTTCTTGGTGGAGGAGGTGAGTACCAGATGCCTCTGGTCAACCATCTTGAAGCATTTGACTCAAGCACTTTTGAAGTCAAGTGAAATCTGTTCAATTGAAAAGAATCTCTATAAGCACAGACACCCTCTGGGCCCCGTGAGAAACATGCTGCTTCACAGACTGAGCTTTGGCACTTTATGCCAGGTATGCAGCTCAGCTTTCATTCTTCTCTGTTTCTCTTGAAGTTTGTAAAGAAGTTGCAATAGTTAATTTTATGTGTCAACTTGGCTATGGTGTCCAGCTGTTTGGGCAGATGTCAGTCTAGATGTTGCTGAGAAAGTATTTTTTAGATGAGATAAACATTTGGATCAGTAGATTTTGAGTAAAGCAGATTACCCTACATTATGTGGGTGAGCCTCATCCAATCAGCTGGAGTTCCTATTAAAGCAAAGACTGAGGTTTCCCAAAGAAGGTATTTGAACTAAAAGACTGCAGCGTAGAAACTCTTCCTGGGTTTCCAGCCTGCCTGGCCCGCCCCTCAGAATTCAGACTTAAGACTGCAGCATTAATTCTTCCCTTCATTTCCAGCCTGTTGGCTTGCCCTGTGAATATTGGACTTAACAGCCCCCACAAATGTGTGAGCCAACATCTGAAAGTAAATCTGTGCTTACACATAAATCTCCTATTGCTTCTGTTTCTCTGGAGAGCCTTGACTAATACAGTAGCAAAGAAGACACAAGGGGACTCTCTTTAAAAGGTCTTTCTTTAACAATGAGGAAAAGCACATAGGGAAAGAGTTGGGTATATTTAACCATTTGCTGTTGGTGTCAATATGCAAAATCTCATGTACAGTCAAGGCTCCCTCTGCCCATTCTCATCATTGCTCTGTTCCAATGTGCTTACAAGACACACTCCACCTTCCAGCAACCACATCTCCCAGCTGCAGGTGTTCCCTGTGTGGCAGGATACTTCATGCATATCAACATGTGGGTTGTTTGCTGCGTGCTCCCCTCTCCTCCTCTTCCAAGCTGGAAGACAGGTCTTTAGAGGTCCCCTGCCTGAAAGCAGAAACCTTTTGATCATCTGGGTATTTATAAAAGCTTTTAGTTCCTGAAAGGTGAGCCTGGAGACAAGGCATCTTTGGATGTACAAGGGACAGGAGAGGGTCTCCCTGCCAACCAGTGCAAAGGGACGCAGCTGTGCGGGTCCTGCAAGCAGGGGGCTGGCACCTGCCTTCTGCCTGTCCTTCACTATTCCTGCCCAGAGGCTGGACTCTGGCATCAAGAGTCTGGACCTGAGCAAGGAGCTCAGACCACATAGGCCTGGGAAAGCAGAGGCCCTACAGTGAGTGGGAACCGGCAGAGAGGCTGCAGGCCTGTTGGGGGTCACCAGAAAGGATGGGATGGAAGGCAAGAGCCTGCTGATTCTTGTTACTGCAGAAGACCCCAAGGCCTCTCATAATCCTAAGGATAATGAGCACGAAAGTCCAAGCAGATGACAGGGTTGGGCTCAGAGTCAGAGTGGGATTGGAATCAACTTAAGGAGCATATGTAAATATAGCTATAGATACCCACACACATTTATACGTGCATATGACATTATATTTGCATACAGGCATACACATGTATAATAGATAATATTTCTGGCATAGACTAAGGTTTTTACCTACTATACTGGCAAGGATGATGGGGAACAGAGAAACAAGGTTATGGAAGTATGACTGGGCTGCTTTTAACTTAATTTTCTTTTGATTTGTCTATATTTAAAAATTTAAAAATTTTCCTAAAACACATATTATTTTGCGATATAATTCATCTTTTTAAACACTTATGTTTTTAAGTATTATGTTACACATGGAAAAGCCTGATAGTATAAATTTAGAAAAAGGAATGAAATTCAAAGTGGCATATATAGTGTAAAAACTTCCTTTAAGTAAAATAAAAATACCTTCATGCAAAACAGACAAAAATACCCATATAACCATTTATAGAGAAAAGATTGGAAGGAAAGAGATTAAAATGATGTTACTAGTGATCATCTTTAGAACTATTTTTTCCTCTTCTCTACTTTTCTGAAATTTCAGAATGTTTCCTGAGCACACATTACTTTTTCAGAAGCAGAACTTTGCAAGGAATTCAGCCACTTTAACAGATCCTAGGTAAAATACTGCTTCGCAAATACATGTTTTAAAATTTTGCTTCTCTGGCCAAGCGTTTTCTGTTTGGATTGGAAGTCCTTGAAAAGTGCAGAAATTGCAGTTTCTACCTGATCTTTCCTAAATAAAAATTTAGTAAGTAGAAATCCTTTTTAAGGCCCTTCCTTCTCCCCCAACGCACATCCCCCAAATACGCACAAACTATCTCCCCGCCACACACACCCCATCACCACTATCACCACCACCATCACACACAGACACACACACACACACACACACACACACACACACGCCACACAGCCTGCCCCAAACTAGGTGGGGGCGCTGAGGGCAGGGGGATTCCTGTGATCTTTGCAGGGCAAGGTTAAACCTCTAGGGTTACTGAGCAGAAAGTTTAATTCAGAAAAGAAGTCTGGGCCATGAATGACCACAGGTGGGTCCTGCAGTTCATAATGCTCTAGAGCCAGCAGTCCCTAAAGAGGTACCAGGTGAGATAAGGCAGGGATTCCCAGGGCCCTTGAGGTGGCGAGGTGAGCCATCTCATGGACTGTCTTCACCCACCTCCGCAGTGTGCATGACACGTGCCACCAGTTTCTATGTGTGCTGTGACTGGAAAAGGCAGAGATGCCCTCCTTTGTCATCTGAAATGAAAATTTCAGCACTCCCCTTCCCTCCTCCTCTGCTGTTCTGTCTGGGTGCTGGCTTCAGTTCCTGAGGTTGGCGGGGGGAGCGGGGCTGTGCAGATTCCCATGGTCTTTTGTGGCCAGCAGGGCTCTGGCCCCCTAAGGCTTTTCTATCCCAGTGACTGGTGCTGTGGACACCTCACCTTGGGTTTGTCCTGGAAAAGCCAAGCGAGAGTGAGTTGGTGCTGCTGACTCTTTTGGGCTCACTTACCACTCAAGCTGACACTCCTTTCAGGTGCTCTTCATTTCTCCCTGCAGAGCCGGGCTCCCGCCTCATGGTTTCCTTGAGCCCAGTGAATGAACTTTAGCATTCCTTGCTGTGCAGCCATCAGCCATGTAAGCTGTGTGAGATTTCTCTATGCTGGCTCTTTGTATCACTGGGAATTTCTCTTTGACCTCCATCCAGTTCCACCCTCATCTTTCCATTCCTTAGTATATCTCCCTCCGTCCCGCAGCTGTGCCTTTATTTAGCCTTTGGAAGTTGGCTGCAGGGTGAAGGCTTACAGGGTCTCAGAAGGATTTCTCTCAGCTGTCCTGCTTTGTCTCTAGCATCCAGTGGGCAGTTGCCTTATAATTGAGGCCAGCTTCACAGGTGTGTGACCCGTACAGTTGCACAGGGTTTTACTCTCAGAACAGCCTGGCGCTTGGTTTCATGCTCTGCTGGAGCTGTCCTGAAACTCTTCATAATTTTATCTTCAAACCTGTGTTTTATAAAGGAGGTCTGATGGGCAGTAGGACATGTATGCTGGGCCGCTGCATGCACACAATGAGCTCAGACCTGCAGTCCTGGGAGGCAGCCCAGGCGTGGAGCAATTGGTCCAGCCAGTTGTGTAGGTGCATGCCTTGGGGCTACCTTGGGACCCTGTTGCTGCCACCATTGACATTTTCTGGGCCTAGGTTCCAGCTGGGCCACCATGGGCCCCTGCGGTGCACCTATACCGCTGGCTGAGCAATTGGTCCAGCCAGGTGTGTAGGTGCACCGCAAGGACCCAAGGTGGCCAGGCCAGAACGTAGGCCCAGACAATGGCAATGGTGGCAGCAACAGCATCGGTGGCGGCAGCAGAGGTGGTGGTCATGGCTTTGGGAGAAAGGAGGGGCTCTGCACAGCAGCAACACTGGGACCTGAGGTGGGAGTCTGGCCTGTGTGTTGATCCTCAGTCCTGTACCGGTGGCATCTGCACAGATACCAACTCCCTGGTCTGAAAGCCAGCACACAAACAGCCAGCACTCAGGCAGTAAACTTTGTCAGTGAAGTATAAAATGAAAGCACACTCGTGGACATTGCAATCAAGCATGTCAAGAAGTTAATTCGGCAACTTCCGCCCAGGACCATGTCCAGCTGGGCAACTCGGACATAAACCAAACACTAATGCAGAGGGTGAGTGCCCTCCCAGCGTGGCTTCGGCAACTTCCGCCCAGGACCATGTCCAGCTGGGCAACTGCGACATAAACCAAACATTAATGCGGAGGGTGAGTGCCCTCCCAGTGTGGCTTAAATGCAAAGCCTGTAAGCTTCCCCAGCAGGCTCTGCCCTCATCTGCTTTCCCCACCTGATCCCTCCCCCAAACCCTCCCTGCTTTCCAGCTATACAGTGTGCCACAGGTTTTTTTGACAGTTCTTCCACTACACAGGCTTCGAGCTTTTTAATTCTCACTTGGTTACCCCTGGCATACAGGAAATTGTGGGAAATTGTCCTCCATCCTCCACATTGAGACCTCTCATAGCAGGCTGTGTTGTGGGGTGTGAAAAGAGCATAGACATGGGCCAGAGAAAAGAAGGCAGTCGCTTGATGAAAAAAACCTTAAACAAACCAGAAGTTCACGTGCCCGAGACTGGCCCAGTTATCCTTCCACTCACACTAAAGCAGGGAGTGGGACGCCCCTCTACCCACATGTCCCTCCTCACTCCCTTGTTTTCTGCTCTAAATTCACCCTTACTAGTTATTTTAGCCTATTGGAAGGGTTGGTACTAGAAGAGGGAGGAAGGGCACAGATATCTGGCAAAATCCTACTCATCCTCCAAGAACCAGCTGGGACGCCACCCCTCTTGATTCCAGCTAGACATCCCTATACTGTCGGATCCTATACTGTGATCCCACAGCACCTAGTGCCTTCCTTAGTTCCTGATGCTCACCATGCCTGTGCCAGGATGGGAACCTTCTACAGTGTTCAAAGAGGAGCTTCACTGCTTACAGCCATTCCCCTTCTCTCTCCTGTCTGAGAAGAAAATGGATCCAACTTTTAGTCACTTAGCTTGGATGTTTTCTTGTTCCTGGGAAGGAACAGGAGGAGAGAAGGGAGACTTTGCTGGAAGTTAAAAAAAGATTTATGTGGATAAGAAAAAAAATGTTTTGGAAAAAAAAAGAATAAAACATGTTCAGAAAAGTGGATTTTTAAAAACAGTTTGATAGAAGATTAAGACAATGGTGGAAAGATGTTAGTGGAAGACATATGGAAGTAATAGAGAAAATAGTCAAAATATGGCACCTTTTTGAGTGGGGGTCAAGCCCCCAACCAGCTGCATGGCCTGGTCCACCCATCCTAGGCCCCAGGCCCTGGGCTGTTCCTCTGGGCTACTCCTGTGATGAGATCACAGAAAACTTCTCCAGAGGATTCTCTTGCCCCATTGGTGCTCTGGCGCCAATGCAGCTGAACACCTGCGGGAGGCACAAGGTGAAAGATGGGTCATTCCTGGGCCTCTTGCTGAGCCCTTTCCCTAGGCAGGCCTCTCACACTGCCTGCATCCAGGCACCAAGCTGGGTAGTGCTTCTCTCTGGGAAGGAGGAAGGGGAGATAGTTCACTCACCAGCAGCCAACGAATTTTCCAGCTACCAACAAACAGAATCTATTTCTGTTCATGCCTTGAGATACTGCTTGGTTCCTACTGATGAAACACATGCAGGCAACCCCCTGCAATGCTCTGTAACATCCCTAAGCCCGTCAAAAGGTAGGGTCTTGGGGTCATGGTGGTTGGAGGATTTAACCTGAATTGCTGAGATGGGCAACAGCACTCCCGTTACCTGTGGTTTGTCCTTCAGGGGCAGGGCTTGTGGGTTCTGTCTGTATATCTCCAGCACCCAACACGATATGTGAAATAGCAGGTGCTCTATTGTGAGAACAGAAGAGAGGGAGGAAGCAAAGGTTTGGAAGGAAATTTAGGACCTGAGAAAAAAGGGAAGCATTGTTCTGGGCATGACACCCACAGGGATAGCTGTGTTCTTGCTTCTTTCTAATGAGTAGCTCTTCCTTTAGAGCACAAATGCAGTCAGGGAAACAGCAAACCTGCGCTCCCTGCTCCCATCAGATGCATTTCCTTCTGGCTTCCCCCAGTGCAATGACGAGGGAAGACATTCTCCTCCTCCCATGGTGTTCTGGCAGATTAAGCTGAATAGCTCCATGTGGGTATTAAGTACAGGTTCTAACATCATTTAATTCCACTTCCTTTTGACTGAAACAAGTTCCCAGCTCATACTCGCCCTTATCCCTTGAGGCAGCAAAGCAAGTCATAAATAATCACGGTAATAATGCCATGTAAACACTTTCACTGGGAAGATGGAGGCGCTGGTTTTGAATCTCCAGGATACAGAAGATTATATACAAGTGATGATTCATATTTGCCTCAGCCCCAACAGGAGAAACTCCTTCGCCTGCTCCCCCTACCATGGAGGCCTTGCAGAGTGGGAGAGCTGGTTTTCCAAACACTGTCTTAAAGAGAGAGCATCCATTTGTTTCCTGAAGTTAAAACAGTTCTCTTTGGGAACAGTTTGATTCAGTCTTGATTCTCCCTCTTCATCATGAGATGCCTTAAAAAATTCTTCCTACTATTAGACAATTTTTTTTTTTTTGGAGATGGAGTCTCACTCTGTCGCCCAGGCTGGAGTGCAGTGGCGCGATCTTGGCTCACTGCAAGCTCTGCCTCCCGGGTTCACGCCATTCTCCTGCCTCTATTAGACAATTTATTCTGTGAGGACAGGGATCATGTCGGTCTGTTCAGCATTAAATCCCCAATACCAGCCATGCAGCAGGTGATCAGGAAAGAAGAAATCTTGAATGTTGTTAAGTTCTGATAAAACAAACCAAAACAAGGAGCAGAGACTGACCTAGTGATTGAGTGAAAGAGGTTAAGGCTCAAACTCACAGGACTGAGAACAGAACCTTCCCCACCTCTCTGAGTCCAAGCTGCCTCTCCCAGAGCTTCAGAGCCCTCCTTGCACAAGCCCGTCCCGCAGCTGACATTCGAGACACTTGTTTTTTTCATGTCTAGAATATGATAAGACAGGCATCAGAGGCAATTAGAATCAAGACGAGGAGAGTGTTCTAGGCAATAAGGACAGCCCATAAGACACTAAATAATGATTCTTTGCACTTCCATGGCACCTTTCGTCTGAGGATTTCAACGTGGATTTTAATTTTAATCACATTTCCACGATGAGGCTTCTTATTAGAGATGGAGAACTAGACCTTTGCACCTGGTGCTATACAGACACTTCACACTCAACATATTCCCAACAAAAGTCATGATCTTTTCCCCACACCTCTTCCCTTCTCTGTGTTCTCCTTCTTGGCAAAGGGCACCCTCATCCACCAGGTCCTCAGGGCTGATACCTAGACGCCATTCTAGCCTTCCAGCTCTCTCTCCCCTCCCTTACTGAGGAAAATTGTCCACTATGTCCCACCTCCCAAATGCTTCCCAGGTTCCTCTTGAGTCCAGCCCCCAACCCTGGTCCTTGGATATTTTCCTAAAGGGCAAATCCCATAATGCTGATTCCTGTCTTAAAATCCTTCAAAAGTTCTCTATTGTGAATAAATTCAAACCCTTTATTGCACCATGCAAGTCTTTTCATGACTGGTCTCTGCCTATCTCATTTTTTTATACTTTTTTTTTTTAAGACTGAGTCTCATTTGGTTGCACAGGCTGGAGTGCAGTGGCACAATCTCGGCTCACTGCAACCTCTGCCTCCCGGGTTCAAGCGATTCTCCTGCCTCAGCCTCCTGAGTAGCGGGGACTACAGGCATGCACCACCACGCCCAGCTGATTTTTTTGTATTTTTTGTAGAAATAGGGTTTCGCCATGTTGGCCAGGCTGGTCTCGAACTCCTGACCTCATGATCTGCCCGTCTCAGCCTCCCAAAGCGCTGGGATTACAGGCGTGAGCCACTGCACCCGGCCTCTCATTTTCATCTGCTGCCACCTCATCCCTCAGCTGTTCTCCCACAGCACCCACGTGCGTGTGTGCGCACACATTTACACACTTGCACATACACACCTATGCCACAAGGTGCAGGCCTGCAGTTCCCTAAACTCCCCATACTGTTTCAAGCCTCCATGCCTTTCTACCTATTATTATTCCCCACTTATTTTCCCCATGGAAAACTGCTGCCCATCTTGTAGGACACAGCTCAAGTGAAATTTCCTCTACAAAGCCTCCTATCTCACTAGGAAAAATGGGTCATTTTCTTTTGCACCACCCACATAATGTGAGCTTGTTTCATTTCTACTGCTCACCATGCTGTGTGGCAATGGTTGAGTTACAGCCACAGCCTCATTAGACGGACGCATTCTTTGAGAGCAAGTCATATTCATCTTTATATCCCCAGCACCTAGTGCAATTCTTGGCATACAGCAGGGGCTCCATCGGTGTCTAATGAACTTTTCAACAAATCAGTGAGTCCCTTCCAAAGCTGAGCCAAAGGGAGATTAAACACCTCCCTCCAAGGACAGAGACAAATGGATGGATTGCAGCCAAGAGTAATAAATTATAGCCTGAGTTTAGCCTATCCAGCCACTTATTGAAAGATGAAAATCTGTTCTTTATGTAACTTCAAACCAACACCTGCAGGAGTGATAGCTGAAAGAACTTGTACCAAACCGGATAACAATGTTTCAAAATGCTGGTGGAGGAGGGGAAAGTGTCAGGACAACCTTGTGAATCACTGGGTCTCACAGTATCTTTTGACAAAGGAAGATGCCAAAATATTTACAAACCCGTAAGTTATGCTCTAGTCTCGCAACCAGCAACTTGTAAAAATAGATGACTCATCCACAGGGAAGCTTAATGGCATGGACTGAATTCATCACCTGCTGGGCCAGAGCGATGAGCAGTAATGGCAGATTTTATGAAGAGGCAGTTTGGAGGGCGAGTGGCCTGCTGGTAAGTAACAGAGGCAGAAAATCGGGGAATAAGGATGTTGTTCATTGTATTTGTTGACAGGCAAACAGGGCAGAATAAGAAGCTTCTTTGACTCTCGAATTTTAGCACTAGAAGAAATAGTGAGGATTATATATTTCAGAAGTTCTCACCCAGGATATCAGAACACATTCAGAGTCCTGATCCCAGTTATGAGAAAGGGCCACCTTCGACTACAAATTAGAAATTGCATTTTCTACCAGAACATTAAACGACAAAGGCTGTCTACACTGGGATGTATCAGTGGAAGTGTCTCCAATGTCAACATGGGTCATAGCAGAAGAAACATGGAAAACCACTACATCTTTAGTCCAATTACTTCGTTGTAAGAAGGAACAAGTTAAGGGCCAAATTTAAAGTGACTTATCCAGGAAATAATAGATGCTGGCGAGGCTGTGGAGAAGCAGGAATGCATTTACACTGTTGGTGGGAGTGTAAATTAGTTCAACCAATGTGGAAGACAGTGTGGCGATTCCTTAAGGATCTAGAACCAGAAATACCATTTGACCCAGCAATCCCATTACTGGGTATATACCCAAAGGATGATAAATCTTTCCACTCTAAAGACACATGCACACGTATGTTTATTGCAGTAATACTTACAATAGCAAAGACTTGGAACCAACCCAAATGCCCATCAGTGATAGACTGGATAAAGAAAATGCAGCACATATACACCATGGAATACTATGCAGCTATAAAAAAGAATGAGTTCATGTCCAGGGACATGGATGAAGCTGGAAGCCATCATTCTCAGCAAACTAACACAAGAACAGAAAACCAAACACCACATGTTCTCACTCATAAGTGGGAGTTGAACAATGAGAACACATGGACACAGGGAGGGGAACATCACATACCAGGGCCTGTCAGGGGTTGAGGGGCAAGGGGAGGGAGGGCATTAGGACAAATACCTAATGCATGTGGGGCTTAAAACCTAGATGATGGGTTGACGGGTGCAGCAAACCACCATGGCACATGTATACCTATGTAAGAAACCTGCACGTTCTGCACATGAATCCCGGAACTTAAAGTAAAATTAAAAAATAAAAAATAAAAAAATAACGTGACTTATCTATTGTCACACTCCTCGCAGACCAGGGCTAAGACCAGGACCTCATCTCCTGACTTGTAGCCTCAGGACTCTTTTTGCTTCTCTGGCTGATTTCTGCATTGCTTTTGCCAGCGTTCCACGGCTGTGATATGGACCACCTTGCATTTTAACAACGTTCCAAAACTTTTGCAGGTGGGACGGTAGGAGTTGGAATCTCCAAGTTTCCTTTAGAGCCTAGCTACTTTCTGTGCTACTTTTATAACATTAATTATTAGTTTTTGTGTAATTATTATCATTAGGATAAAAAACTTTAACCTACAGGTATAATATTAATACATCTAAAATAGTGGTTCTCAACTGGGGGTAATTTTCCCACCCCATCTCCCCAGGAACAATTTGTCAATGTGCAGAGACATTTTTGAGGTGTCACAACTCAGGGGGAGAAGTGCTGCTGGCATCTGGTAGTGACCAGGGATCTTGCTGACCATTCTACAGGGCACAGGACAGCCTCACAGCAGAGAAGGATCCAGCCCCAAATGTTAATAGTGCTAATACTGAAAAATCCACTTCTAAAACAAGTGTCAGCTGAGCGTGATAGTGCACACCTGTAAGCCCAGCACTTCGGGAGGCCAGGGCAGGAGGATTGGTTGAGCCTAGGAGTTCAAGATTAGCCTGGGCAGCAAAGGGAGACTCTGTCTCTATAAAAAATTTTTAAAATATCAAAATTTTTAATACTACAAGCACATGCCTGTAGTCCAGGGAGGAATGCTTGAGTTCAGGAGGTGAGGCTACAGTGAGCCGTGATCACACCACTGCACTTTAGCCTGGGCAACAGAGAAAGATTTCGAAGAAAGGGAAGGGGAGGGGAGGGGAGGAGAGGAAGGAAAGGAAGGAAAGAAGGAAGGAAGGAAGGAAAGGAGGGGAGGGGAGGGAAGGGGAGGGGAAGAAAGGAAAGAAAGGAAGAAAGGAAGAAAGAAAGGAAAGAAAGAAACCAAGAAAAAAGAGAGGAAGGAAAGAAAGAAAAAGAAAAAAGAAAAGAAAAGAAAGAAAGAAAAAGACAAGTGCCCTGTACTAAAACAGGACTCTCCTGGGTGGTTCCATTGGCTTAGGAAAGAGCTCCTTCTCTAAATAGACCCAACCTTTCCAGACATATTGTCCAGAGAAAAGTATTTCAGAGAAAGTTTCCTTCGGCATCAATTCTCCCAAGCCGTAAGCTCATTTGGAGGGATGGAGGTAGGTGTGAGGCCAATGGCAGTGCCTGTCTTCAGCAACAAGTCCCCAAATCACAGAAGAACCCAGACCAGCAGGAGAAATTTGAGGAGAGCAGAAGATGAGACTGTGCGTAATTGAAGAAGAAAAACCTCAGAGCCTCCAGAAGGCCCAACTCCTCGCAGGGCCATGGCTTAGAAGGGAAAGGTGAGGATGTGAAAGGGCTGAGACTGCGGTATTTCTTGGTGCAGGCTTTGGTCTGGTGAAAACCATTATTTGACCACATCTTCTCACAGTTGTCCCCGAGGCTGGACAGATGGGGGACTCTGAGAGTCATCCCCAGGATCTACGGTTGTGTTAATGTGGAAGCTGCTGATATATCGTAGGTGGCACTGTACACATTTACTGCCACCTAAAGGGATCCCGTATCATTTTCCCTTTGCCTCTCAGCATTTTTACCCTCAGGATTTGCAATCCCAAAATCAAGGACTGTGGAATTCATTCCCTTGACAGAGCCTATGACAGAGCCCTGCTGGCACACATATTATATGTGTGATAACGATGGTGATGAGGAGGATGAGGAGGATGATGTCGAATAGAAATGCACCTTCTTGAAGGGTTCCTCTCCCACATGAACGCTTATCTTATTTGGTAAGTTCCTTATAATAACAAGTTCCTTATTAGTTTCTACCTGTTCAGGGAGAAGAGAGGTGGAAAATTGCTTGTTGCTCCTTGTCATTTTAACAAGACAGAGTTCCAGGCTTCTTGCCCTTAAACAACCAAAAAGTACATGAGCCTCTTCCTTCAAATGTCAGAATGCCATTTAGCCTGACAGCGTTCTCATTATTATGCACTGAGAGCTTCTCTAACCCAACCTGTCAAAAATTTCTAACAGACAGGAGCCTCATCAACTTGGAGCCAATGTCTCAGTCTTGTGTCAGGGTTTAGAAGCTTTCAGTGAGGTAAGGGGAGAGAGGCCTGCTTGGATGTCCTTTGATACCAGGAGTCCCCTGGGGATTCCTTCCCATCATGTCCTGGAAGAGGAAGAAGCCAGGCTAACGTGGGTGGAAGGTTAGAGAGACACCTTCAAGTGACTGCTTTGGAGATGACCCCAGATCTGCAGTCATTTCAGAGACAGAACAAAGGCAGTCCAGAGAGAGAGCTTCTGGGGGCAGCTGCGACCTCACTGGGATCAACTGGGATTCTGGGGCCAGTTAAGTCCGTTTTCCACGTTGACTCTTCCAGAACCAGAAATGTGCACACTGAACCCACTCCTGCTGAAGAAGACTGCTGTGACTGATGCAGATATGCTAACAGGCACAGGAAAAGGATCCAGGTGACTTTCTTGTTAAAGAAGTGCATGCATTTTCTATCCACCGAAACCCACACAAACAGGTGGCACAAGGGCCCCCTTGGCCAGAGACCAAGTCTCCCTGGGCCTCCAACTTCCATGGAGGCCCCCAAGCTGCCCTTGGTTCCGATGGTGCAAGGAAGCGTCTACCTGTAAGAGCTCTCTTTTGCCACTTCCCAGGAGTTTTAGACCCTTCTGGCCACCCCTGTGCCTTCTAGAATCCCAGGCTAAGCGCCCACCTGTCCACCAGGTGCAGGTAACAGTGACAAACTCAGCATTTGCTGAAGGTCACTGTGAGGCCGTGTGCCTCCAAAGTCCCTCCCTGCTTCCCTCCTGGGTCACACAGGTGCTGTGGCTGTGAAGTCGCAGTTGCGGTAGCAGCGGTGGCAGGATCACTCTCCTTTGGGCAATTCTGGTGAACCTGCAAGCCCAGCCTCTAACTCTGAGACCAAGCAGCTGAGAGTCACCTAAAACCTACAGTCAGAGTCAGCTAAAATTTTACAAACGATGAAGGCACAGCATAGTGCTGTTTATTGGAAATGCGATAATAAAATAGATTTATTTTATTATCCACATTTTAAGCAGTTTAACTTGTTTATGGCTGGCAATAAATTTCGTGGTCTGGAAAATGACACTTAATGACTGAATGTCATAAATCCCTTGTTTTGAACATAAATATATTTCATATTTATTTTTTTTAAATTGCCGCCTCTGCTAAATAAATGTTGGATTACTGTTCAAGGAATATGGGCTCACAAGGGGCGCACATTATTCTCAGGGTACTCATATGTCTTGGAACTGTGCCAGGGCACAGACAGGCGGAGCCTTCCCTCATTTGGGAAGAGATGGTGTAAGCCTCGCCTTTCAACACAATGGCCCTTTCCCTGTCTGCTGCTTGTAGGGTGGGGGTGTGGAGGGAGACTGAGAAGGGAGAGAGGAAAGGGAGACAGAAGCCCCTTCCCTTTATAGGACCTCTCCGGGCTGGGTAGCCCCAGGGGAATCCAGTTCCACAAAAGGGTGCAGGGGAGAGGCACAGAACCAGTGCCGTGGTCACCATGCTCCTGAAACCCAGAACCCCGATTTGGTGTGGACAGCACCTGGGTCTGGGCCCTGCTTTCTGGGCATGGCTGGCGGTGATTTCTGCATGTCAATTCCTGACCTCGCTTTCGACATCTGTCTCTCCGAGACCTCCAACCCCAGCCTGGAGCCGCCGTGCCTATTTCTGGAATCTGAGAGACCTCAAATTCCAAAGGCACCGTGAGAGTCTCAGGACTCAGCCTTTCCACCCTTGCCGGGGTGACTCGTGGAGGGAATCGAGCCTAAGTCTTACGGCACGTTGTGCAGTTTGGGCCGGGGCGGAGGACCAGGGCCCAGCTGAGGCTGGCCTTAGTGACTCAGCCTTGATCCTGCCACGGTGACAAGGGTGGGAGGGTTCCCGCAGGGGTCCAGCTCGTGTCTGTGAGAAGCACCTTCCCTTCAGGGTCGCACGTGGACCGTGGCTGCTACCACGCTACCGTTGCCTTCAGTGCTCTTTTGCAGGAGTGCAGACGGGCAGTTCAGCGCGGGCCCCAGTGCCGGGGGTGGGGGGCAGGGAGCTCCCGCAGGGCTTTGCTGAGAAGGGGCATAACCATGACCCACTGGTGATGTCTGTGAGGTGGAGGCAGTGGTTGCGGTGAGATTCATAGCTCATTTACCACCCCCAGCCCAAGGACAGGATATTTTTTTTTAGAGACAGGGTCTTGCTCTGTTGCCTAGGTTGGAATGCAGTGGTGTGATCACAGTTCACTGCAACCTTGAACACCTGGGCTCAGGCAATCCTCCCACCTCAGGCCCCTGAGTAGCCGGGACCACACGCACATACCACCATGCCTGGGTAATTTTTCATTTTTCTGTAGAGACAGGGTCTCTCTATGCTGCCCAGGCTGGTTTCAAACTCCTCCAGCCAGGACCCCTTCTTTTTTTTTTTTTTTTCTTCATCAGCCAGCTAATTCAAGGCTGGGGAACATTCCATTTCAATTTTATTGAAAGCTCAGGAGTAGCAAAAGGGAAACAAACTCAATCACAGTCACAGGGCAGCCTGACTTACAGGTTAGAGAGCAAGGCTGGTACTCCAGGCTAAACAGGGCCTGTCTCAGCCTCAGTCCTAGCGTGCTTCCAGCGGGTGTTGTCAGGATAGCAACCTAGCTGGAGAGACAGCCCTCCCCTCTAGTTTCACTGACCAGAATGGAGCCAAGGGCCCAAGGGGAATGGTATAGAAGGATTGGCTTCTTCCAGTCAGAAACCCCCTCCCACCCACCCATCATAATGGGCTTATCCTAATAGGAACCCACCCCCACCACCACCATGATTGGCTTGTTCTATTCGGGCCTCACCCATGATTATAATTGGTTTTATCTTAAACTGGGCTTACCCAGCACCAAGCATGGCTTAACCTAAGCAGGATCTTCCCCACCCCAGACCTCTCTGGGTGGAGGAGCATGAATACCTGAACTAGGTGGAGATGTTAGGAAAAGGAAAGGCCATAGGGACTTGAAGAGGGAACAAAAGACTCTAGACTTTGGCTCCCTTCCAGGCAAACTGTTCCCCCTTAATTCTGATTTCTGGAACCAGGAAAGGAGGCTACTCCTTGTGTAGATCATTCTCTTCGGATACACCCAGTGCCTTTGGAGGGGAGCCTATTTCTGGGTGGGGGAGTGGAGGGTCATTATGAGGGGCGGGGGTGGCCATGGACACCGCGAAGCAGGGCCTGTTTTATTTGCCATCGACACACTGTTTGGGCTCCCAGTCCTCTCACTTGAATCTCCAGCTCAGCTCACAACCACACACATCCTTAGCAGGAGTGTCCCAGAGCACAAAATCTCTAGCCGCCTCTGGCAGAAATCGGCAGCATCTTTGAAGGAAGAAAGGTGTCACAAGCATGAAATCTGTGTATTCAAGCGGTGTTTGAGAATTAAAAGAGGTGAGGATCTTTTTCCCCTCTTAAAAATGCCTAACACTCCGCATCATCTAATTTTTAAATAAAGCTGTTTTTCTACCACCACGGAACAGAGGTGAGGCTTCCCCTGGAAAGAGGTTTCCAAATCTAAACAGCTGGCGTTGTCTCAGGGAAGCAAAAACTCAAGTATGAAGAGCATCAGGAATCCTCAGGGTGGAGAGGAGCAGGGAAGTCTTGTGAGCCTTTCCCCTGCCTTAGCCATTCTGAATTTCGGCTTCTCTCCTCTTCCCACCTTGCTGACAGACACCACGGGGTCTCTAAGTGGGTTTGATCATCTCTTGCCCAGGGGACCCGAAGAGAATGAAGCACTCTCTGGTTTGGGCACGTTCCAGGTTGGCTGGTCTTGTTGGTTTTGCTATTTTCAATGATGTTTAAATGCATAAAGAAATCCAAACAATGGAACCATTCTGAAGGGAACTGCTACACAGGAGGGGACAGTCAAGACTGAGGTCCACTGACCCTGAGGCAGGCAGTTAGATCACCTGAGGTCAGGAGTTTGAAACCAGCCTGGTCAACATGGTGAAACCCTGTCTCTACTAAAAATACAAAAATTAGCTGGGAATGGTGGCATATGCCTGTAATCTCAGCTACTGGGGAGGCTGAGGCAGGAGAATCACTTGAACCCAGGAGGTGGAGGTTGCAGTGAGCCAAGATCATGCCATTGCACTCCAGCCTGGTGACAGAGTGAGACTCTGTCTCAATCAATCAATCAATCAATCAATCAGATAACAGTTACACAGACCTCCCCACTCCATCCAGTTCCTGCCCCAACTCTGAGAATGCGGCCGGCCAGCCTCCAGGTCACAACCACAACCACTGCAAAAAGATGTTTACATTGGAATATGGTATACACAAACACCATGCACGCGCACACACACAGGCACATACACATATGCACACATACTTACACTCACCACACATGCGCACACACACAAACACATGCCACACACATGCATGTGTATACACATCAACACACACATGAATACACACATACATGCATGTACACTATACACACATACATACGCACATGCATTCTCCATGCACACACACATACCACATGCGCTTAGACACACCACATAGTCAAAAGTGTAATGCGTGCTGAGACTTCCTATTCTATTTCACCCACCTTCCAGCCTTGATTTAAGAGCTGGTCACAACCCACTAAGTTGATTTCATGAGCTACTAAAAGGGTCACAACCCACAGCTTGAAAAATATGTCTGTAAGCCATACCAGGATAATCAGATAAAATTGGGCCCAGGCCATTTCCTAACATCAACACCTGCAGGACTTCCTGGTCTCTGCACGTGGAAATGTCTCCCACCCTACACAGGGGGTGCTCAGCCTGTCCTCCTGGGAGGGCCTCACTGCTTCTTGATCCTCATGGATTTGCCCTCCATGGGTTCCCTAGGGCTCCCTGCTCCCCAGGCCTCACCAGCCTCAGCCTGCACTTGCTCTGACAGCTTCTCTCCTTCTCTAATTGCCGCCTCTCACTCATGACACCTCCACACAGCTCAAAGTCCTGTGAAAAATGGCTGCACCTCAGTCAGTCCTCATTTAAAACCTGGATTCCTAAGATCTATATTTGGCCTGAGAATGCTACCTCTGCCACAGTTAAGTTCTAGGACACCGAAGTCTCTTCTTCACACCATCACAGAATTTGTTCAAATAATATGAACAATTAAAAATAACAATCTGGTGGTCACTGCTTTGCTCTTGAGTAGCTGACAGGCTGTGACAGAGCCCTTCCCGGAGCTTTGACCCAGTGTTTTGAAGCTCGGATTCTCCTGTGAGAGCACAAAGTGTCTTGCCTGGCAAATTGCTTTGAAGTCTCCTGCTATATCCAGGAACTCATGCACATTTTGCTTTCTTCTCCACTGGCCAGCCCTCCCTTCTAGTCTCACTGACCAGAATGGAGCCAAGGGCCCAAGCGGAATGGTCTAGAAGGATTGGCTTCTTCCAATCAGAAGCCCCCTCCCACCTACCCACCATAATGGGCTTATCCTAACAGGAACCCACCCCACCACCACCATGATTGGCTTGTTCTATTCGGGCCTCACTCATCATTATAATTGTTTTTATTTTAAACTGGGCTTACCCAGCACCAAGCACGGCTTAACCTGAGCAGGATCTTCCCCACCCCAGACCTCTCTGGGTAGAGGAGCATGAATACCTGAACTAGGTGGAGATCTGCTAGGAAAAGGAAAGGCCATGGGGGTTTGAAGAAGGAACAAAAGGCTCTAGCTTCAAGAACCCAAATTGCCAGACGCTATGAGGCTTAACTTTTTTTTTTTTTTTTTTTTTTTTTGAGATGGAGTTTCGCTCTTGTTGCCCAGGCTGGAGTGCAATGGTGCGATCTCAGTTCATCACAACCTCCACCTCCCAGGTTCAAGAGATTCTCCTGTCTCAGCCTCCTGAGTAGCTGGGATTACAGGTGTGCGCCACCACACCTGGCTAATTTTTGTATTTTTAATAGAGATGGAGTTTCATCATATTGGTCAGGCTGGTCTCGAATTCCTGACCTCAGGTGATCCTCCTGCCTTGGCCTCCCAAAGTGCTGGGATTACAGGCGTGAGACACCGTGCCTGGCTGAGGCTTAACTTTTATATGATATTCTCGCTCCATTATTTTAGCTATAAAAGGAGGGTGATGCTTCTTCCAGGATATACCTTACCAGTTGTGGTCTGAGATCACCTGAAGTATGGAACATGTAAATATTTAACCCCAGGTATTGGTTACTATTCTTCTCCCAAGAACAAAATTAGACATTCTTGTCTATACTATACGGTGGTTCTTCAACTTCAGATTCATCTGGGATAATGGTTTACAATGCACATTCGGCATCTCACTCTCAGAGAGTCTGGCAAAATAGTCCTTACTTCAACTGCTTAACTCTCGAAAGCTCTCCCCGTTATGGCCAAGCCACAGTGGAGTAGGCCTTCCAGTGGGAGTCACGAGGAGTGATTCCTTTTCAGTCAACTTCCACAAAAGATGCAGGGAAGAATGAAAATGTTTTCATAGCAGAGCAAGTGTCAGAATAAAAACCTCTCTTTCAAGGCACTGTATGTACCCAATATTTGACGAAGAGATTGGAGTTGGCAGTTGGTGATGTTGAAGAAACCGTGGTGATATTTTACAAGATTGCCATGGAGAGGCTGGGTTTAGCCGGCGGGATTCCTTTCCCAGCTCTGTCTCTGATTTAAAGATGGACAGAAGATAAATACACTGAGCTGCCTTGAACACAGCTTTGATTTAAAACCCCATGATTTGGAGAATTTCCTCCACAGTTAGACCGACATCTTCGTGCCCTTTGAGAACTTTATACAGCCAAGGTGTCTAAAGTCGGAACTTGAGCTTCAAGGCTAAGCACCGTGTGTGAGTTTAAAAGGCAGAGGCGAGTGCTTAGCTCTGTCTGCTGCAGACGGTGACCCTAATTTTTAAAATTGTGGTAAAATAGACATAACATAAAATTGAGCATCTTAAGCAATTTTTTTTTTTTGAGATGGGGTCTTGCTCTTATTGCCCAGGCTGGAATGCAGTGGCACAGTCTTGGCTCGCTGCAACCTCCACCTCCCAGCTTCAAGCAATTCTCCTGCCTCAGCCTCTCAAACAGCTGGGATTACAGGCACGCGCCACCACGCCAGGCTAATTTTTGTATTTTTAGTAGAGACAGGTTTCAGCATGTTGGCCAGGCTGGTTTCAAACTCCTGACCTCAAGTGATCCGCCCCCCTCGGTCTCCCGAAGTGCTGGGATTGTAGGCGTGAACCACCGCGCCCGGCCTCATCTTAAACATTTTTAAGTGTGCCGTTCAGTCGCGTTAAGTACATTCACATCGTTGTGCATCCGTCACCACCACCCAGCCACAGAACTCGTTTCATCTCCCCAAACTGAAACTCAGTCCTCATTAAAGAACATCTCCCCACTGCCCCTCCTCTCAGCCCCTGGAAACCCCAGTTCTACCTCTGTGTCTCTGAATTTGACGACTCTGGGTCCTTCCTCTGAGTGGAATCATGCACTTGTGACTGGCTTAGCATAACGTCCTCATTGCGGCTCCCCCATGCTGCGGCGCGCGTCAAGATTTCCTTCCTGTTCAAGGCTGCAGGACATTCCGTTGCATGGCTAGACCACATTTTGCTTATCCATTTATCCATCCGTACACACCTGGGTTGCTCCCACCTCTTGGCCCTTGTGAACAGGGGTCTGTATTTTTAGCAGGCATCTCAGGGACTCCATCGCCTGCTGTTGGGGAAGCAGTCCTGGTACAGCAGGAAAATTAAACAAGATTGAAATGTTCGGAAATATCTCATGTGCAGCGGAGTAATGCTTAGTGGTGTTAAACCTTGTGTGTGTCTCTCCTCGCCCTCCTCACCCCTGCCTTTTCCCTCCCACTCAGGCATCGGGAATGCTCTCCTAGGCTCCCTGCACTTGCCCTGCGGTTGTCGCAACAGGAAGGCGAGAGCAAAAATAGAGTCAACGCTCAGATTTGAATTTCAAGAGAGGCTTTAAAAAACCTCTTAACAGAGGCGATGGTTTCAGAAGAAAAGACTTTTAGAGTTGCAACAGCCTGGGTGTCTTTCTTTTCAAAAGCCCAGACTCAGAAAAAGCGAGAGCATCACGATGCCATGAGTGACTTGGGAAAATCAGAGAGCTAGAGAGAGAAGCTGTGAAGCCCACGGCCTCCCCAGACTGGGGACAGAGGACTGTGGCTGGCTGGGTGGGGGCGGAGGCAAGGGAGAGCCTGAGGGGAGAATGCTAGAGTCCGTCCATGCGGCTGGGCTGTGGGCAGGGGGTTGCTCCCTGTTCCCTCATGAGAGCTGAAAGTGTTAAAAGAAGGGTGAGAGTTCTATTTCTCCTACCGTTTAAATTCTGGGATCCAGGTTAAGGAAGGTGAGAGTTCTGTTTCTCCCGCTGTTTCAGTTCTGGGATCCAGGTCAAGCTTTGCTGAAGACAGCTGTTCCGCTTAGTTACTAATGACTTGCAGCTGAGTCCCTGAGAGCTGTTTCTCCTTTACTTTCAAGGTGCCTCAGGGGACCCTGCCCCATGACTTCCACAAAGGACCCTGTATTCGCCCGCTAGGGCTGCCCTACAAAATACCACAGACTGGGTGGCTTAAGCAACAGCCATGTATTATGCCTCCAGTTCTGGAGGCCGGAAATCCAACATCAAGATGTCAGGATTGGTTTCCTCTGTGGCCTCTCTCCTTGGCTTGTAGACGGGCGTCTTCCTCAGGGGCACTCACTTGGTCTCCCTCTGTATGTGTCTCTGAATTCTATTAGGACTTTGACCTATGAATTTGGGGGTGGGGGTGGGGAGGGGACATAATTCAGCCCCTAGCAGGAGCCATAACTGAGTTGAGGCTGTTTAGGATGTCAGTTACACTGCCTGAAGCCTAAACTCACTCTGGGTTTCTAACCTGCCACATTAAACATCCTCTGGAAGCTGGCTGGAATTGCAGAATCTCAGGCCCCATCCACACCCACTGAATCAGAACTGGCATTTTAACTAGGTCCCCAGGTTACTCACACCCAATTAAAATTCAAGGAGCATCATGAATTTTAAACAACTCTCCCACTCAGGAGCCCAAGGGAATTCCACAGCTTCACACCAGCAAGGCAGCGTTTAAATCGCCACTCATGGCAAACCTGCCAGGGCTGAGCTGCAGAGGCAGAGAAGCCTCTGACTTGTCCGAGTGTGTGGAGATGCATCGGCCCTGCAGACTGCTATAGGGCCCCCCGGTCTTGGAAACAGAGGCAGCCGGGGGGCGCCACAGCTGGGAAGCTGCAAGAATGGGAGAGGTTATCTTGACAAAGTCAAAAGAAGCTTAGTGATGATACAATAGGGCCCCCAGATTCAGCATGTGAGAATATAAAGTGATATTAAGGACACACTTATCCTAAAACCTTATTTGCTGTTTATCTGGAATTCAGATGCAACTGGGCATCCTGCATTTTGTCTGGCAGCCCTGCCGCCGAGTCCCGACCTCCTGCATGCTGTGTGGACTCTCTTTTCTCTACCTCACCACTCACGCATGCTGCTCTGCCCTCCTCCATAAAAATGGATGAAACAGGAGCATGCTGGGCATGAGGAATACAGAGTAGTGGCCCCGGGAACACTAGGATGCCTGTTCTTTCAGTCCATACTGCTGGCCTGGGACAAACTCCAGCAGCAGCAGGCAGGTGTGAAGGAACTGGCCACCTGGTCGCCTGCATTCTCTCCAGCCCGGGGCCCTTTCCCACGCCCAGCCTGCCAGCTCTCTCCAGCCTCCACAGGCGGCCTTCCTCACCACCCTCAGTGCACCTGGATCAAAGAAAGGCAGAGATGCCCACATGGGACTGCATACAGTTCTCCAAAATTCTCCCTTCTCTTGCATTCAGCAGAGACATCCCACAGTTATTAAATGCCTTAAATATGGATATCACCAGTGCCACCCAGGAAAAGGATGGTTTCTCACGGAAGACTCGCCATCTCCCAGTGAGCACAGCGTGGGTGTTGGCATGGTAAGTGAATGAGGGAACTTCTGGGGCTTGAGGAAAGCCCTGGAAGCAGAGGGGTCTCTAGGCCAGTGCAGTTGTTCACAAAGGGAGCAGTATCGGGAGAGGGGGACAAAAGGCACCCGGGGGGCCCCCTGCAGCCCGGCGCCTGCTGCTGGTTGTCAGGTAATTGTGGTGTTTCCAGCTACTCAGCGTGTGGCAAGACACCCCTTCCTTTGCTGCCTGCGGCATCCTGGGAGCCAGGCTACTGGAGAGACCCAGCCAAGTGCCTCGAGAGCTGAGAAATAAGGAGCTACGGAATGTTTACATGAGAGGCCATGCGGGCTATCAAACCAGTCATTTTAAATACCTACAGATTCAACCGTATCCTGGGTGCTGCGGAGTTTGTAGAAAGATGATTTTTAAAAACGGTCCCTCTCCTTACGGAAGAAAGACAGCACACTCACATCACTAAATCCAAACCAGGACACTGGCTATAGCACAGCAATCCTTTCCCAGGGGCCACATGCAGATGTGGGCATCTCCCTGGCAGGCGGGATGCGTCCCAGCTGAGTCTTCTGTCCTGACTCAGACCAAAGAGCCTTCTCCCTTGACAGGACATCCACTTATTCTGGCAGTTGGAAAATAAATTTTTTTTTCCATTGAATATGGGCATGTCCAGTGTGTGATAATGCTGGACCACCTTGTTCATACAATGCCTAGAGCCCTTAGTGTGGAATATATATAGATATAGATATAAAATATATATATATACATTTTTATTTATATAAAAATTTATATTTATATTTAAATATATATTTTATATATTATATATATTCCACACTAAAGGCTATATATATTATATATTTTATATATAATATAAATATTATATATAGAAATATATATTTTATATATTTATTATATATTTTATATACATATATATATATTTGACAGCAAATATACATATTTGAGACAAGTTGTGGCTCTGTCGCCCAGGCTGGAGTGCAGTAGCGCCATCTCGGCTCACTGCAACCTCTGCCTCCCGGGCACAAGCCATCCTCCCACCTCAGCTTCCCGAGTAGCTGAGACTACAGGCATGTACCACCACACCCGGCTGATTTTTGTAGTTTTTGTAGAGACAGGACTTTTCCATGTTGCCCAGGCTGGTCTCGAACTCATGAGCTCAAGCAGTCCACCCGCCTCAGCCTCCCAAAGTGTTGGGATGAAAGGCGTTAGTGCAGATTATGCTTTATGCTTCCTGAAAATTCTGTAAAACATAATGATTCCCTTTATACATTCTGCAGATTAAAAGAGTTAAACAAGAATAGCCCCATCTTTCCACTGCACTCCCATACTCCCTTGTATATGCATGTGTTGCAGACGTTCCCCTGGGCAGGGCGTGTAGAAGACTCAAGGGCCAATGAGGTTTTTGAGGAGCACGGATGCACCCTTCAGGGCTGTGTGAATGAAGGGGAGGAGTCGGTGAAGAAAACACCGGGAGAAGGTGGTGTCACCGTTGCCAAGCCAAGAGAGGGTTTTGTTGTTGGTGGTTATTTGCTTTTACAAGGAGGGGACACTGCCACAAGATGGTCATAGACTCAGGAGTCAGGCTGCCTGGTTTCTAATCCGCACTCTGTCATCTTGCACAAGTCACTTAGTCCCCATTAGCCTGTTTCCTCACGAGGGAAGGAGGAGAGTAAAAGGACCCATAATGCCAAAAAGATGTGGAGGAGACGCAAAGTGCTGCGAGGTGGGAGCTGTTGCACCTGGCCCCGGGAAGCACCCCTGAGGCTCCCCTTGCAGGCGGTGTTCTCAACAACCTCCAAAAGGCGGGAGGTGACAGGGACAAAACTCCCCATACTGTAACCTCGCTGTTCATGCACAAGCCAGGTCTCCGTAATTAGAACAGGAGTTTCAGGAGGACACAGACAAGGGGGCAGAGACAATGCCTTATTCATACATAATTGGCACTTAATAAATGTTTATGGAACACGTAGCTGAATAGATGAATGGATGAATAATTAATAACAAGGACGACTGCAGCTGAGTGTCGAGTTTTGTTCCCAAATTGGACGCACATGGAAATGAAAGGAGATCTTCATTTGTGTGGTGATTATCTAAGTATTTGTCCTCTCCCGCTGAGGGTTCCAGGAAGCAGGTTGCAGAGGGCAACAGGAACAATGCCACACCTGTATTCCACGGAGGAGGGATGTTCAGGTGTTAGAAAAAGAACCACAGGCAGAGGTCACGCATTCAAAACCAGGAAAAGGGCCAGCGAGGCTTTGCTTTGGCAATGCCAATTATACTTTTTTAGTCCAGAAATATTTAGAGAAGGATTCCCGCATTGTGCTTTTAAAGTCATTTGTTATTAGCGTCACAGAAGTAAAAATATCTACTGGGACATCTGCCCAAACTCCAAAAGACAGGGCTGAGGAGACAATGTGAGTGGGTGTGACTGTGGTTACGTTGAGTAGCTGTATGCTGTACCCGCTGCCACTCAAGCCCCACCAGCAGAGGTGCCCCCAGCTTAATAGCACAGAGAAACCGTTCTTTTCAAAGGGGCCGGGGTTGCTGAGCAGTTTCCTGCCTTTTATTTAAAGCTTGATTTCCTTTGTAAAAAGCGGTGCATAGGCCAAGAGTGCCTACGATGTATTTTTATTTTTAAATCTTGAACATTTCAAGTTGCATACAAAAGAGGGAGGTTAGAAGGAAGGTGAGGATAGGCAAGGGAGAAACACAGAGTCATGGATGGGCTTGCCAGCGCTGGAAAAGATGATTTAATGAAAGGACCATTAAATGGCAGCCTGGGCTGGTGTCTCTGAGAGTGGAGCCAGGCTGTCTTCCTCATCCAAGCGAGTGCAGTGAGATTCCTGGTATTCCACTTGTAGTTCCCACACACGTCTCATTTCCAAGCACCAGCAGCAGACAGTAGAGAGGAGCTGCCGTTAACATCCCTGTCTCGGAGAGGTGGGTAGGGGGACGCTATCTCTTTCTCAGAGATGCTGGAGAATGACTTGCCTAATTGCCTGCAATATCACTTTCCTGAAACCTATTTCTGATTGCCAAGGGCCTTAGCAAACGGGGGTTCCCACCAGCACTCCCTCACACGTCTTGCGATGTATTAGTACTCGATTTACCCCTTCAGTAAGGTCAATGCAGGTTCTTAAAACAGAGATGATTAAACACAACTGAATCTACTAATTTTTATTTTGCCGTGACAGTGCAGTCCCTTTTAATTTTTACCCGGGCACCTGTGAGTTATTTAGGAAATTTTTGAAATGCCACCTTGTATGAGAGAAGCTACTTAGGTGTTTCAGCATCTCTTCAGAAGCCACCGTGGAACTTTCCAAGAATAAATTAACACATGCATATATTTTCTCTTCCATAAAGATAAAATGCAAATGAAGAAAATCCAATTCAAATTAGTTTAGGCAAAAGAGCAAGTTAATGACTCTTGCTATCAAGGACAGACATAGAGTTAGCTTCAGGGATGACTGGATCCAGGATTCAGATGTCCCAGGCTCCCCTCTCTCCCTCTCCTTTGTGCTTCTCTCTATATTGTAACCCATCCCAGTTCCACTCTAAAAATTCTAGAAATGGGCCGGGCACGGTGGCTCATGCCTGTAATCCCAGCACTTTGGGAGGCCGAGGCAGGCAGATCACGAGGTCAGGAGATCGAGATCATCCTGGCTAAGATGGTGAAACCCCGTCTCTACTAAAAACACACACACAAAAAAATAGCCTGGCATGGTGGCGGGCACCTGTAGTCCCAGCTACTCAGGAGGCTGAGGCAGGAGAATGGCGTGAACCCAGGAAGCAGAGCTTGCAGTGAGTGGAGATCGCGCCACTGCACCCCAGCCTGGGCGACAGAGCGAGACTCCGACTCAAAAAAAAAAAAATTCTAGAAATGGACCTTTGCCACCTGGGATCAGAAGCCCACCCCTCAGTTAATCACTAAACCATGGAGGCGATGTGAGAAGATGGTGTCTGCTACCCCTATCATAACACAGAGGAGAGGAAAGCCTAAGAGGAGAAAAGTGCAGGGCAGACAGAGGAATAATTGTCTTGTAGTACCCACATCTCTCCATTCTGCATTTTTGATGTTTTGACATGTTGGGGCTTTGCTGACCCTAGAGGGACTGTTCCCCACTCCACCCCAGGACTAGCTAATCTGTGGAGATGGCAAACAATTACACTACTAACACACCTTTCACATACAAACCAGCTAATCCCAAATCCACGCCTCCAACCAACTCCCTTATCAGGACCTCACACTCAGGGCCAGTATTTGCCTGCCCTGAGCCCCCAGGGCCATTAACCAGGGACAGCCCCTATGGCCCAGAGCTCTGAAATTATTCAGCCTGGCCCCATTCCTAAGCCCATGCACCCTGCCTCCCTGTTCCTCCCTGCAGAAACCACAATAAAAGCTTTTGCCCAGGATTTCCTCTGCTCTGTCTGCCCCCTGACCAGCCTTGGTGCTTCCTCATGTGGCCCTGCATGGCAGGCTGTGTTTCCTGTTTCTAGGGATCTGTGAGCAGAACAAACTTATTCATGGGAATCATCTCTATGTCTGTGTGTGTTACAAATGCCACGCACCCTTAAAACACGTCCGCTACAGCAAATAGCCCAAACCTGAGGCAGCTGGAGGAACCAGCATTAACTTAACCATTCCAGGTCCCAAGTCCTAAAGTAAGTTTTCGGATACAGCAAAGAGTAAGTAGGAAGTGCATGCAGAGATTGATGGAATCAAAACATATCTAATAAGCCATTTTCTTTTTCTTTTTTGAGACGGAGTCTCATTCTGTTGCCCAGGCTGGAGTGCAGTGGCACGATCTCCGCTCACTGCAACCTCCTTCTCCCAGGTTCAAGCGATTCTCCTGCCTTAGCCTCCTGAGTAGCTGGGATTACAGGCACCCGCCACCACACCCGGCTTTTTGTATTTTTAGTAGAGATGGGGTTTCACCATGTTGGCCAGGCTGGTCTCGAACTCCTGACCTCAGGTGATCCGCCTGCCTTGGCCTCCCAAAGTGCTGGGATTATAGGCCTGAGCCACCATGCCCGGCCTATTGAGCCATTTTCTAAAGACAGAAACACCTCATGGCACATATCATGCAGAAACAGAATGGGAGAAATACAACTGAGAAATCCACTGGGCTGTCGTAATTCCATTGGTAGAGCCCTGTGCTTAAGAAAGCAAACTCTGCACTCAGGCTCCTGGGCTCAAGGCTGGGCTATTCCCTCTGTAGGCGTGAGACCTCAGTTAAGGAACTTTGCCCCTGGAAGCTTCAGTGCCTCCCCTCTTAGATGAAGATAATAACAGGATCTGCTTTCTCATATGAAGATTAAATGAGTCTTGTAAAGAAGGAAAACAGTGCCTGGTGAGTGTTTAATGCTACCTGTTACTATTTCTAATTCTGTTCTTATGCCAAAATGAGTCTTAATACAACGAAATATAATACAGTTTAAATATAACAAATAACATATGACAAGTTTAAATTTTTTAAATGTTTAAGTATACAGTAGTCCCCCCACCACCTTACATGTTCCAAGACCCCCAGTGGATTCTTGAAACCAAGGATAGTATTGAACCTTATATACACTATGTTTTTTCCTGTATATATGATAAGGTTTAATTTATGAATTAGGCACAGTATAGATTAACAACAATAACCAATAATAAAATAGAACAATTATCACAATATACTGCAATAAAAATTAGGTGAATGCGGTCTCTTTTTCTCTCTCAAAATATCTTATTGTGTATTCACCTTTCTTCTTGTGATGATATAAGATGATTCAAATGGCCATGTGATGAGGTGAGGTGAGGTGAATAACTCAGGCGTTGTGACGGAGAAGTAAGCTACTATTGACCTTCTGACCATGCATCAGGAGGCTCATCTGCTCTCGGTGATCCTGGATCATTGAGCAATGACAATATTGATGGGTGGATGTCAGGAGCAGACAGTGTCAATGACTAACAGGCGGGTAGCGTACACAGCATGGAGATGCTGGACAAACGAATGATTCAAGTCCTGGGTGGGATGGAGCAGGATGGCATGAGATTTCATCACACTACCCAGAATGGCATGCCATTTCAAACTTATGTATTGTTTGTTTCTGTAACTTTCCATATAATATTTTTGGACCTCAGTTGATTACAGCTAACAGAAACCATGGAAGGTGAAACATGAAATAAGGGGGAACTCCTATAACAAAAATAATGTTTAAAGCCCCACAGAGTATTTTTATACCTCTGAAAGAAATAAGGCATTTCTAAGAATGACACACAACTCAGAAGCCAAAAAGGAAGACTTGAACAAACATGACTATATTAAAATGGCAAAAAATTGTAGAGAAAAACCACCCTAAGAAAGTTGAAAGACAAATGATGTACTATAGAAAAAATAATTGTGCAACACATATTTTAGACAAAGGGATAATTCCTCTAATATGCAAACCTCTCTAGCAAGCCAGTAAGAAAAGATAAAATAATCCCATAGAAAAAAGTAGGCTAAAGATATGAGCAGATGTTTCTCAGAAAAAAAAGAACCAAGTGGCCCATAACCATATGACAAGATGCTGTGTCAGGAGAGCTCTTGGCTGTAAGTAAAGAGCACCTAACTAACAATAGCTCAAACTAATTTGGGTTTACATTCTCACATACCAAAAAATCCAAACCAGGAAGGCAGGAGCACTTACTGGCATCGGTTCAGCATGAAAAAACACCATGGGGGAACAAAGCTCTTTCTATGTATTTGTTCCTTCACTTTACTCAACACAAGTTGTAACACAGCTTCATATATTACACCCAAGTTCAAGACAAAGAAGAGGGATTGGTTTGGGGCTGAGAGGTGGGAACAAAAAACAGCAAGAGCTTTCCTATCAACCCCAGCAAACTTCCATTTAGGTTTCACCAGCTAGAACTGTGTTCTAAGACCACCTCTAGCCGCAAGAGAGGCTGAGCAACAGAAGATTGATGTGCAATGAATAATTAGGTTGGTTTTGTTCCCAGGTCCTGGGAGGTAACTTCTAAACCCTCGCAAGTTCCCAGGTGATGGGAGTGCCTTTGTTCTTCATGGTGGGCTCCTAGGACCACACCTGATAGTTTATGCTAACAAAGTGACTCAGGATGGGGGCTGGACATGCTAGAAAGACCCACCATATGATAGAGGGTTGGGGTTTTAAGTTATGTGATACCAGATTAACCTCTGGGCAGGGGAGGAGCCTGGAGACTGAGTTAAGCCTCATGGCCAATGATTCAATTAATCGTGACTATATAATGAAGCCCCAAGAAAAACTCTGTGCTCCCGAGCACTGATGTGCCAGGACGGTAATGTGTTCCCGAGGACGATGGAAGCTCTGTGTTTGGAGCCCTCCCAGACTCGGCCCCAAGTGTCTCTTCTTTTGGCTGGCTCTGGTTTGTATCCTTTGCAATAATAAAATTGTAAGTCCAGTGCTGTCAGGGAGTTCTGGACCTGAGGGTGGACATGGGGGGCCCTGAATTTGTAGCCAGCTGGGCAGAAGTGAGGGTGCCCCTGGGACCTCTAAACCTCTGAAGTGAAGGCAGTCTTATGGAGGACTGCGCCCTTAACCCTGAGTTTGGCTAAATCCTGGTAGATTGGCTGCCCGTGTTTCTCAACAGAGCACTTTCTGCCTTTGAGGATGGAAAATTCTTTGTGGAGAGGATTGTTTCACCAGTCATGGGGCAGTTATTAGTCTTGACCCATGGACATGAAATGCCAGCACCCACTCCCCAACACTGTGGCTGCTGCAAACCTTCCCACGTTTCCCAAGGCCTCCTGAGGGGCAGCACCACCCTCCAATAGAGAACCTCCAGCTTCGACTCATCATGATCAATTACCTGGAACCAGGCACGCTGTCCTTCCAAACAAAATCAGGATTCTGTTAACAAAATAGAAAGAGAAACAAATACAAAGTGGGCAACTAGCAATGCTGCCTGGGTGCCCAACTGCCCTCTAACTAAAAATTAAAAGTTGGCAAAATAATGTATCTTTTATTCCCGCAATCGGACTGGCAAATATGAAACGTTTTGAGAATAGCCAGTATTGGCAGCACTGTGAGAAGACCTATATTCTACCTCACTTTTAGCAGAAGTGCACAATGACACAATTTTTCAAGAGCATTTTGCCAATGCCCGTCACAATTTTAACCACAACGATCTAGGAATTTAACTCCTAAGTATGTACCCACAAATTTGAAAACAGGCATTCAAACAAATGCTTTTGTACACAAATGTTCATAGCAGCACTATGCATAGTAGCCCAAAGAGGGCAACAACCCAAATGTTCAATAGATGAATATTTGTGGTGTATGCAGATGAGGAAATATTATGCAGCCACAAAAGTGAATGAAGTACTGATACATGCTCCAATACGGAGGAGTCTCAGAAACATTATTCTAAGTGGAAAAAGCCAGGCACAAAGGTCACATATTGCATAATTGCATTTATTTGAAATATCCAGAATGGGCAAATTTGCAGAGACAGAAAATAGATTGGTCGTTGCCAGGGGCTGGGATGAGGAGGGAAAGGAGAGTAATTGCTTAATGGTTATGAAGTTTTATTTTGGGATGATGAAAATGTTTTAAAGCTGGATAGAGGTGATGGTTGCACGTTATTGTAAATGTACTAAATCCCATTGAGTTGTACTCTTTAAAATGTTGAATTTTACGTTATGTGACTCTCATTTCAGTTAAAGGAATAATAACTTTTGACCTAGCATTTCAGTTTGAGGAATATAAACTCTACATACCTTGCACACATGTGCAAAGAGATATATATATATATATGTACGTGTATATATATACACGTATATATACACGTATATATACGTGTATATATATACGTATATATACGTGTATATATATACGTGTATATATACACGTATATATATACGTATATATACATATATATACGTATATATATACACACATATATATACGTATATATATATACACACATATATATATGCAAGAATGTCCATTATCATAGTGTGTAACGTTGAGAAACTGAAATAACCAAAATTCATTTTATCAGGGTTTTCCTTAAATAATTATGGTATATTTACAAAACAGAACACACACAACGACTGAAAAGCATGGAGTGGATCTGTACACACTGATATGGGAAAAAAGTGTATATTAACTTAAAAAAGAAAGTGACAGATGAGACAGATCAGAATGTGGCTTTCATTTTACGACTGTTGAGTAACATGGGCAAGTCACCTCACCTCTGTGGCCTTGTTCCTCTTGTCCTTAAAGTGAAGATCATAATAGCCCCACTTATATGCTTGCTGCCAATGGAGTAATGCCTGGAAAGGGTGTACCCCGGAGCCTGCCACGTGGCAGGGGCATGATGGTGGCAGTTATTGTTGCTATTTCTCACTAAGATCTGTGTGAGCTGTGCTTTCTTTGGAGGAGACTCCAATTCCAAGCAACATTGCTCCTACAGTCCTGAGCAGCAGCTGCCCTGGCAGAGCCCCTGCACCACGTGCAGACCATCTTGGCTGCAATCTGTGTTGCCTCTAGTGCCCCACTGGAGAGCAACTAGGGAGAATCCACCGACAGGAGGAGTGGGCTCTGCTGCCAATTAGTTGCTTGCTGTCCTCTCTCTCCCATCCCTCATGACACCCAGGTGCTCTTGGTGTCTAGTGCCAGCTCCAGTTTGGCAATTAGAGGCTGGTTTGGTTATTCTCTACTGGGGTCTCCCACCAGCTGCTGCCTCAGTGGCCGCCCTGGGTGAAGAATCCTCCCAGCTCCAGTCAGGGCAGAGGGCAGGGTCAGGGGCACGCTGGTTCCACAGAGGGTCTCCCTACAGCATGGCCAGGTGGCACACTAGGTGCTGGAGACAGTCCCAGAATAAAGAATATCCTTTTCCGTTGCATTAGAACTTTCGATATGTGAGAAGTATCCTTGGCAGCCACACGTTCCATGACACGGAGCAGGGGTTTCAAAAAGGTGGCCAGGTACTCCATTATTCACCTTCCCTGTGGGAAACCAGATACGGAGGCTCTTTTTCAACTGCATGGAATTTTCCAGCTTCCAGTGTGGCTTTGTGTCACATGTTAATTATTGGTTAGTATCTTAGCAGAGATCAGCAGACCTGAGGATGGAAGAAAGGCAGGAAAGAAGGCACTCGCCCGAGGAGAGGGGGGATGGAGACAAGAACACCCATCAGCACGGCTCCAGGAAATCCTGGGCTCACCCTGCGTCTCAGCTGAGCCCCATTGCATCCTTCATCTTCATATCAGTAAGATCTGGTGATACCTACCCACCCCACAGGACAAGATGGGGGATAAAGTGAGACATCGGTTGTGGATATTTTTTGGCACATGTAAAGTGACTAATGTTATTGTTCATTATTTATCATTACTTTTTTTTTTCTTAAGAGACAGGGTCTCACCATGTCACCCAGGCTGGAGTACAGTGGTGTGATCATAGCTCACTGCATCTTCAAACTCCTGGGCTCAAGCGAGCCTTCCACCTTGGCCTCCCGAGTAGCTGGAACCACCAGCACATACCACCACACCCAGATAATTTTTAAATTTTTTGTAGTGACAGGGTCCCATTATGTTGTTCAGGCTGATCTCAAACTCCTGGGCTCAAGCAATCCTCCCACCTCGGCTACCCAAAGGGCTGGGATTACAAGTGTGAGCCACTGTGCTGGCCATTTGTCATCATTGATACTAAGTTATCATTCTGCCTAAGACTAGCCCCAAGCAGGCCGCTCAAAATGATTTCCCATGTGTCTCAGGATTCAGTTTTGTCAACTCTTTTTTGGGGGGTTGGGGAGCACTGTAAGCATGAGGCTAAGGGCCAGGACCAAACTTGTCTCCTGTCACCCAGGAGCCATTGTAACATGTGGAGTGAGGACACCGCCCCAACTTAACTCCTGCAGGCTTCACTCCAGTGCATCCCCAGGCCTGTTCTGAGTCTCCGTGCATTCATTTCACGATGCATTTGTTCCAGCAGAGCCAGCGAGCCTCAATCCTTCTTAGGAAAAGATGTGCTAGCTTCTTGTAATTCAGGACCACACAGAAACAGCCCTGAGCCAGTGATAGGAAACTCACATGAGTCCCATGCATTGTGGTCTTGGCACGACCTGACCTGCAGCCCTAGCCTTTTCCTTAGTCAGCTCTGCTCCTAGATTATTCTGGAACCATGAGGCTAACAAAGTGGAGGTTCACTCCCCTCTCCTACCTGACCACTGGTTCATTCAGGGAGCAAGGCCAACAGCGTTCATGGTTCCATGTGAAAAACAGGGTCTTTGAACTTCTCCACTCCTCAGATGAGTCACTGGGATCCTGCAGCCTCCACAGAGCTTGGGAGTCTGCAGCTCCATGGTGGAGAGGACTCCACGGTTTCCAAGGTCATCCTTCTCACTAAGTAGTGAATTAAATGGGTTGGCAAAGCAAGAAGTTTTACATTCCAAAAGTCCATTGCCTGCTGCATCTCTCTTAGGTAGTCCTAGATTTTGCATTATTAACACATGTGCTCTTGAGAGTATGAACCTAGGGGAAGATGGGAATTTAAAACCATGTGTAAAGGTCATGTCATGACTTCTGGATGTTGTTCTTAAAAATGGAACTGGATGCTTTCAAATCAGGCAATAATTTGAATACAAGAATCCTTAATACAAACGAAGATTATAGATCCAGAGAAGTAAATGTGTTTAGTTATATTTAATATATTTAGCAGCTTCTTAAAGGCAGTCATATATGAACTCCAACTTTTCATTATTGTTGTTTGTAAATTTGCCTGTACTTCCGGAGCCTTCCTCTTTAAATATTACACATTACTCGCTCTGCCAAGAAAATATTGAGGCGTCAAGGCTTCTGTTTGGGAAGCAAGTTCAGACCCCCCAGATAAACAGCTCTTAGCTGTGAAACCAGTGAGATTTCTCTGGGTCCCATTTTCCTTCTCTGGCTTGTGGGGATAACCATAACCAGCCAACCAAACCATTGTGATAATTAAGGGATATGCCTCTAAAGCACCTTGGGAATTTAAGACCGTTTACTAATGTTGCTGGTTAGGAGTAAAAATAAATGGCTGGGCTGGGAGCAGGGCAGGGGGAATGGCTGCTTAATGGGTATGGCTGTTTCCATTTGGGGTGATGAAAACGTTCTGAAGCTAGATAGCAAATGGTGCACATCACTGTGAATGTACTTATTGCTACTGCAATGTACCCTTCAAAATGGCTAAAAAGGTCAATGTTATGTGTGTTTTATCACAATAAAACCATTTTTTTAAAAGAATTAAAGGTCGAGCTTCCACTTCCATCTATGGCCGAGCAGCTTGAATCAGACCAACTCTTCTGCTGAGAAAAACTATAAAAGCTGGATACTATATAGAAAAACTATAAAAGCTGGAGTAACTGATGCAGTCAGGGTTTAAAGGCCAAGATCTCAGGGGAAAAGTAAGTGCACCGAGGTGAGCCTGACACTCTCTACTGCTTTTCACCCTAAAGGATGAAGATGGAAGACTTACAACGCCAGGACCAAGGTCGATTATAAAGCTCTAATAATAAGGTTAGCGTAGCACAGGATGGGACAAATAGACCAGTGGAAGAGAACAGAAAGTCCAGAAAGTAGCTGTGTACATATACACATATACTGGATTTAGACAAAGGAGGCACCACAGAGCTGTTGGGGAGAGATAGCTGAGTGAATTAGATAAACATATGGAGAAATAACATCTTGACCACCCCCTACCTCACACCATACACACAAACCAATCCTAGCTGGACCAAAGGCTTAAATGATGAAAAGCAAAACAATACAGTTTCTGGAAGACAGCGCAGAAGAATATTGTCATGATCTTAAAATAGGAAATGTTTCTAAAACAGGACACATAAAGGAAATGATCAATTGGACTCCACTAAAGTTAACTCTTGTAATGATCATTTAGACTGTATTAAAGTTAACTCTTGTTCATCAAATGACACCATTTAGAAGAGTGAGAAGGCAAGTCATAGAATGGAAGAATATGTTCAAAACATATGTAAGACAAATGACTCGAAACCAGAATACATTTTAAAAAGCACTTCAAAGAGCTGAGAAAAGACAGTCCAATATTTTAAAAGATGGGCAAGAGATTCTAATAGGTATTTCACAAAAGAGGCTCTCCAAGTGGCCAATAAACATAAAAAAAGGCAAAAATGCAAGTTAATACCATAAATAAATACTACTACATACCTGCCAGGATGGTTAAAGCAACAAGAACTGAAAATACTGTGTTTTGGCAAGAAAATGGAACTACTGAATGATGAAACATTGCTGTTGGGAGTAGAGTTTGGCCAACCATTTTAGAAAACTCTATGGCAACTACTAAAACAGAATGTTCTAAGTATATCTTCAACAAAATGCCTAGCTATGTGCTCCAAAAGACATATACAAGAATGATTATGGTCAGACTGTTTGTAATAGCCCCAGAAAGGAAAGAGCTCAAATGTCCATCAAGTATAGAATGCACACAAATACATTGTTCATATATTCCTATTAAGGAATACTCTATGGCAATAAAAATGAACTTCTATAAGCAAAAAATAGATTAATCTCACAAGTATGAGGCTGAGCAAAAGAAGCCAGACATCAAAAACACAGCCAGTCCGATTCTACTTATATAACATGCAAGATCAGACAAACTCATCTGTGATGCTAGAAGTCAGAAAAATGTCATCCTTGTCAGGGGTGGTGAGTGAGAGGGCGAGGAAAGCACTTCTGTGGTGCATGCGGGCCAGGCTCTATTTCTCATCTGTGTGGGATTTTATTGCTGTGTTCACTTTGCAAAAATTCATGGAGCTGTGTACTTACCATTTGTGTGCTTTCCTTTTTTTTTGCTTTTGCCTTTTCTTTTCTTTTCTTTTTTTTTTTTTTTTTTTTTGAGATGGAGTCTTGCTCTGTTGCCCAGGCTGGAGTGCAGTGGCATGATCTTGGCTCACTGCAAACTCTGCCTCCCGGGCTTAAGCAATTCTCCTGCCTCAGCCTCCCGAGTGGCTGGATTACAGGCGCATGCCATCATGCATGGCTAATTTTTGTATTTTCAGTAGAGACAGGGTTTCACCATGTTGGCCAGGCTGGTCTTGAATTCCTGGCGTCAAGTGATCCATCTGCCTCAGCCTCCCAAAGTGCTGGGATTACAGGCATGAGCCACCGCGACTGGCCTGTGTGCTTTTCTTGATATATGTTACACTTCAATAAAAGTTGTTTAACTTAAAAATAAACACATAAGAACAAATGGTTTTCAGAATACACACAGGGGCCTCCACAGAAAGAAGCATGAGTGATTTTTGAAAATCTTTTACATAGCAGTGTTTTCTGGGTTTTCTACAACTAGAACACTTTGTTTAATCAAAACTTATTAAATACATCCTTTAATATTATATTTTAGAGTAATAATGACATGGACACGTAGATGACACATTAAGTTGAAAAAGAAGATTTCAAAAACAGTAGGCTCAGATGCTTCAACATTATAAAAGTCATGTATGAAAAGCCCACAGCTAACATCATGCTCAGTGGTGAAAGACTGGAAGCTTTTCCTCCAAGATCAGTAACAAGACAAGGATGCCTACTTTTGTCACTTCTATTTGACATAGTACTAGGAGTCCTAGCTGGTGCAATTATGCAAGAAAAAAAATAATAAAAAGCATCCAAATTAGAAAGGAAGAAGTAAAAGTATCTCAGTTTGCAGATGACATAATTTTATATGTGGAAAACCCTAAAGAGTTTATTTTTGAAAACCTGTTAAAACTAATAAATGAATTTACCAAAGTTGCAGAATACAAAATTAACACACAAAAATCAGGTGCACGTATATACACTAACCACAAACACTTCGAAAAGGAAATAGTTCTACTGGGGAAAAGACCTGAATAGACAATTTTCCAAAGAAGGTATTCAAATGGTCAGCAGGTATATGAAAAAAGTGCTCAACATCACTAATCATCAGGGAAACAAAAATCAAAACCACAATAAATGCCTCACACCTGTGAGGATGGCTAATATCAAAAAGATAAGAGATAACAAGGATTGGTGAGGATGTGGAGGAAAGGGAACCCTTGTACACTGTTGGTGAGAATGTAAATTCATACATATAGTTTGGAGGAACCTCCAAAAATTAAAAATAGAATTACCGTACGACCCAGCAATCCCTCTATTGGGTATACACCCAAAACAAATACAATCAGCATCTTATGCAAACATCTGTGCTTCTATGTTCAATGCAGCATTATATACAATAGCCAAGATATGTGTCCACTGATAGATGAATGGACACAGAAATTGTTGTATATATGCATACAATGGAATATTGTATTCAGCCTTTAAAAAAAAGAAGATACGGCCATTTGCAACAACATGGATGAACCTGGAGGACATTATGCTAAGTGAAATATGCCAGGCACAGAAAGACAAATACTGTGTGATCTCACTTATCTGTGGAATTAAAAAAGTTGAACTCATAGATGTAGAGATTAGAATAGTGTTTACCAGAGGTGGGGGTGAAGGGGATAGGGAGATATAGGTCAAAGTGTACAAAGTTTCAGTTAGGTAGAAGGAATGAGTTCTGGAGATCTATTGTACAACATGGTGACTACAGATAACAATAAGGTACCATACATTTGAAAATTGCTAAGTCAGTAGGTTTTATATGTTCTCACCACAAAAAAAAAGTATTTGAAGCCATGGATATGTTAATTAGATTGATTTAGTCATTCCATAATATATACATATATCAAAATATGTTGTACACCATAAATGAATACAACTTTTTAAAACATTAAAGACATGTAAGAAAATAATAAATAAATATAAAATGGGCAAATGACTTGAATAGACATTTCTCTAAAGAAGATATACAAACGGCTTACAAACAATGAAAAGATGCTCAACGTCACTAATCATTGGGGAAATGCAAATCAAAACCACCATGAAATACCACTTCAAAGCCATTAGTGTGGCTACCATAAGAAAAACAGGTATTAACTGTTGGCAAGAATGTGGAGAAACTGAAACCCTTGTGCACTGTTCTTGGCAATGTAATATGATACAGCCACTGTGGAAAATAGTACGGCATTCCTCAGAAAATTCAACATGAAATTACCATATGTTCCATCAATGCCACTTCTGGACATATACCTACAAGAACTGAAGGGAGAGTCTTGACATATTTGTATACCATGTTCTTAGCGGTATTATTCACAATAGCCAAAAGGTGGAAGCAACTCAAGTGTTCATCAAAAGATGAATGGATACACAAAATGGGCATACACATACAGTAGAATGTCACTCTGCCTTAGAAAGGAAAGAAATCCCGTCATTTGCAACAACCATGTGAGCCTGGAGGATATTACGCTAAGAGAAATAACCCAGATACAAAAAGATAAATACTGGGTGATTCCACTCAAATGAGGTTCCTAGCGTGGTCATATTCATAGAGATGGAAAGTAGAAGGGGGGAGTTATTCGAAGCTAGGAGGAGGGAGGAAGAATGAGGCGTTACTGTTTACTGGGTATGAAGTTTCATTTTTGCACGGTGAAAAGCGTTCTGGAGATGGAAATGGTGATGGCTGCACAACAACGTGAGCGTTCTTACCACTCAAGCATACACTGAAAAAAATGAAGACAGGATCCCAGCACTTCGGGAGGCCAAGGCGGGCAGATCATGAGGTCAGGAGATCGAGACCATCCTGGCTAACACGGTGAAACCCCATCTCTGCTAAAAAATACAAAAAATTAGCAGGGCATGGTGGCGTGCGCCTGTAGTCCCAGCTACTCGGGAGGTTGAGGCAGGAGAATGGCGTGAACCTAGGAGGTGGAGCTTGCAGTGAGCGGAGATTGCACCACTGCACTCTAGCCTGGGAGACAGAGTGAGACTTCATCTCAAAAAAAATGAAGATAGGAAAGTTGATGTTGTGTGTATTTCAACTACAAGTTCAAAACCCCAGCAGGCACTTACAAACTCAATTTGATGGGGAGGGAAGGATTTATATGCAAAGAAAAAATATAAGAGATCATAAACTAAAATGAAAATTGTCAAGCAAGATAAAGAAATAAGGCAAATTGTTAACAATCATTGAATCCATGGGGTAGAAATATCAATGTTTGTCACATTATTTTTCAACCTTTTGGGGATGTTTAAAATTTGTATAATAAAGTCTAGGGTAAAATGATAATGGTAAGTATTTCTGAGTAGTGAGATTATGGGTATTTTAGAATTTTGTTTGCAGCAGCATTCTTTTCTGTGAACTTCAAACCTTTTTCTTGGATGTTTATTACTAGTATTTATTAATTGAAAGAAAGATTTTCAGAAAAATTGGTTTATGTCCTGACCCTATTTCCTTTTTGCTGCAGGTGAAAAATCTCATTTCTCTGGTTCCACTGGAGAATGAGGGCCCCTAAGCATGAACTGCACTCACCATCCTCTGCCTGGAGTGTGACCCCAGGGTGTTCCATGGGGTTGGACAGTTAGAATAACAGTAACTAATAATATTAACAACTATTATCAAAATGTTACTTAAAAGAATAATACATTAGAGCAGTTTCCAGGGCAATTCCTACAATAACACTGCTTCCACTCACACGTATGTGAATATGTTTTTTTAGACAGAAAGGGATGGCGTTACAGGGATGGTAAGGAGATATGCATCCAACATTGGGTGCCACTCCCTCCCTGGTGGTAGGTAATACACCAGTCACATCTCTGCAGTGAATGGTTTGATACTCCCCCACGGTAGCAGAATTTAAACGGTGGAAGCAGCCAGGGTCACTTCACAAAATGGCACCCATGGATTTTTCTTGCTTTTTTTGCAGATTCCTTTGGCCATGCTCCTGAAATCCACTGCCTTCAAAAGCCCACAAAACTGCCCTTACGAAGCAGTCGCAGCAGTTCAGAGACCATGCCCACCCCACACCTCCCTGCAAGCCTGGCCTCTTCACGGACCTAGGCCATCCCGACCTTCAGGGAATGTGGTAATAGAGTCTATGGCCCGCCTGTGGGGACTGGTGACCTCCAGATGTGCATGCTTCAAAAGAATTACTAGAAGACAAAAGTGAAAAAGAGAAACTCAGGCATCTTGCATGTTTGCTAAATAAATCAATAAGCAAATAAATGATTGAGTGAAAGAGTGGGCTCTGCAATGTGATGGTGGAGCAGGATTTAAACGGTGGAAACAGAGAGGGTCACTTCTCCACAAAATAGCACCATGGAGTTTTTCTTGTTTTTTTGCTTTTTTTTTTTTTTTTGCAAAATCCCTTGGCTATGCCCCTGAAATCCGCTGCCTTTGAGAGCAGAAATCTGGCTGTTGTGTGTGTGCATGTGTGCCCTGGGCTCTGCCTCCTCGTACAGGCACCTATTGATTGAGGGAGGGAATTACCGTTTTTTTCTGCACTATCCTTCCTCCCCCAACCCGGGGGCTGTGATCTCAGCATATTAATGGCTAAGAAGACAAAACAGTGGTTTAATTAGTGCTGTAAGAAGCCCAGGGCTAATAGGAACCAGAGAATATTTAGTTCTGGGTGTTCTGGGTGATCTTTTCTTGCCAAAAAGCTGTCCCTTTCCCAACCAGGCAAAGGGACCGGCTGGTGTGTGTGTCGCTAATTACAGCAGTGACTCAGGCGCTAGACAGCCCTGTGACTTCTGAAGAAGGAAGGCACAGCCCTGTGGGCGTCGGGGAACACAAGCAGGTGTTGTAAGTAAGAAGTACCAGGTCCAAATCTGAAATGGGCAGTGGAGAAAGGAAGGAGCTCTAGAAAACAAAGAATCATTACTCAGAAAATGGCCAAACGCTTCAACATTCTGTTCCTTTGCTGAGTGATGGGTCACCCTCAGTATCCCCATTTGGGGTTCAGAAAATACCAACATAGTAGAGTTAGGGGATACTCCTGCCTCCTCTCTCATAAGGCCTATCTCAGAATAGTTTTTCATTCATGGTGGCTGTTTTTAAGCAAGCAATACTTCTCTCTCTTCTCTATTCTGTTACTTATGGGCATCCTCAGCTTACTTTAGATTTTATGCAGTCTTGGATTTGTCTAGTCTGTGTATAAATCCAGCGTCTCCAGTCATATTATTAATTCCTCAGAGACAACGATTCTGATCAAAACTTTCCTTAAAACCTTATTGCCTCAGCACCTGGATAGACACATGTAACCTAAACAATTCCTCCCAGTTGAATCAAAAGAAAGATTTGGGAAAGCTACATCATTTCTGGAGCCTGGTACAAATTAAAAATGTGGGGCCCCTTATCAAAAGAGCAGAGAAAAAAAAAGAGTGACATTAAAAGCACTAAAATATAAAATTTATTCCTCTTTCCTGTGGTCTTTCTGCTGACCTGACTCGGTGCTTTTTGTTTGTTCTTTAAACTTCTTCTAGGTAAATAAAAGTTAAAAATTTAAATCATTAGCATGATTTTTTTTCTGTCCATCTTTACAATGTGCCTTGGCAGTTTTAAATGCATATATGAAAGCATTTAACTTGTCTGAGGAATCATTGAAAGGACATACTCCCTATTTTGTAGCTAATACTTGTGTGTGTGGGTATTCCATGTTTGCCAGACAACAGAAACACTGCACTCAGCTGTTTTTTGTTTGTTGGTTGGTTTGTTTGTTTGTCTTTTGAGACAGAGTCTTGCTCTGTCACCCAGGCTGGAGTGCAGTGGTGCAATCTCTGCTCACTGTAACCTCTGCCTCCTGGGTTCAAGCGATTCTTATGCCTCAGCCTCCAGATTTGCTGGGATTACAGGCGTGTGCCACCATGCCCAGCTAATTTTTTGTATTTTTAGTAGAGACAGGGTTTCACCATGCTGGCCAGGCTGATCTTGAACTCCTGACCTCGTGATCCGCCTGCCTCAACCTCCCAAAGTGGAGATTACAGGCATGAGCCACCACGCTCAGCTGTTTTTATTTCGCTTCTTGACACGTGCACATTCTGCCAACACCCTGTGCCTTGGGCTTACTCGTGGGGAAAGGAAACACCGAAAGGAGAAGGAACCACAGTTGTCTTGTTTTTCCCCTTTCCTTCTATGACATTTTTCAGCATAAGTGATTGGTTAATACAAGAAGGTGGCCGGGCGCGGTGGCTCACGCCTGTAATCCCAGCAATTTGGGAGGCCGAGGCGGGCGGATCACGAGGTCAGGAGATCGAGACCATCCTGGCGGACACGGTGAAACCCCGTCTCTACTAAGAATACAAAAAAAATTAGCCAGGCGTGGTGGCGGGCGCCCGTAGTCCCAGCTGCTCCGGAGGCTGAGGCAGGAGAATGGCGTGAATCTGGGAGGTGGAGCTTGCAGTGAGCCGAGATCGCGCCACCGCACTCCAGCCTGGGTGACAGAGCGAGACTCCATCTCAAAAAAAAAAAAAAAAAAAAAAAAAAAAAAAAAAAAAAAAGAAGGAATGTGGCAGGTTTCCCTGGCTGTTTGTGTTTCTTAGAACAGCTCTACCTTCTTTCTGCAAGCAAGTCCTGCTTCAAGGGGGAGAGTCTAGAATTTGGGGGCTGTCAGTGCCCGACGTACTGAGTCTCGGATGGGATGTGTTTTTACCTTGCACCTGCTCAGGCTTCCTGGAGTCCTGTGCTTCCCGGGTCCACCAGAATTCTGTGCTCATAAGGGCATCCCGAGCGCCATGTGCGAAGTGGGTGGCCGGGGCCGGGGACGTGCGTATCGCTCAGGTGCTGCTGTACTGTCCCACCAGGCTTACAAAAATCTCAGAGACGCGGTTAGGAAGATTTCAAGACAGCAACGACAGAGCCTTAAACCGAGCACAGGGCTCTTCCGGGTGTGGGGTCTCTTGTGACTGCGCAGGTCATCCATCCAAGAAGCCGGCCTTGAATTACAGAGAACAACTGAAAGACCGAAGAGAAGCCAGTTCCGCTCTCAACAGCCACAGGGCGGATGATGCCTTCCCCCAGAAATTCACCAACAGTGCACGAGGTGCCCATGAAGAGAGCCCACAAAACTGTCCTTACAGAGGAGTCCAGGCAGTTCAGAGACCATGCCCAACCCACACCTCCCCTCAAGCCTGGCCTCTCCACTGACCCCGGCCACTCCCGCCTTCAGGGAATGTGGCAAATAGAGTCTGTGGCCAGTCTGTGGGGCTGGTGGCCCCCAGATGTGCACGCTTCAAAAGAATTACTAGAAGACAAAAGTGAAAAAGAGGGAGAAACTCAGGCATCTTGAACGTTTGCTAAATAAATCAGCAAACAAATGACTGAGTAAAAGAGTGGACTATGTGATGTAAGGGAGCACTTGTGTAAAAATTACTGATCAACATCTGTTGGAGCCGTTTGCAAATTTTGAGAATAGTCTCATGGAAAACAATGCAAGTGAAAAAAAAAAACTCTGGGAAAATCGAAGTTGTACAAGAAATGAAATATCACCTTAATACAATACTTGTCTCAACAGTGGACTATGTAGTAAAAAAATCCTAAGTATTAACTTGTTTTTAAAACATGCTGATCTAACTATTTGGGGACCTAAGGAGAGGCAGGCATAAGAGAATTAAATAACCATCTAGGATAACACAAAATAAACAGAATATGTTTAATGTTGATGAATCAACAAATAGAAGAAAAAACATTTATTTAGAAACATGAAGGTAATTAGCAAAATAAAATGATAAAGAAGTTAATATGTGTTTGAGCAGGTTTGGAAAGTGGGGATGAGTGAAGAAGAAACATAAACTGATTGGTATCATTTTTATTTAATTGTTTTTTTGAGACAAAGTCTCACTCTGTCACCCAGGCTGGAGTGCAGTGGTGTGATCTCTGCTCACTGCAACCTCCGCCTCCCGGGTTCAAGTGATTCTCCTGCCTCAGCCTCCCAAGTAGCTGGGATTACAGGTGCCTGCCATCACGCCTAGCTAACTTTTGTATTTTTAGTAGAGACGAGGTTTCATCATGTTGGCCAGGCTGGTCTTGAACTCCTGACCTCAGATGATCCACCCGCCTCAGCCTCCCAAAGTGCTGGGATTACAGGCGTGAGCCACCGCACCTGGCCTGATATTATTTTTAAATAGTGTGTTACTTTGATAAACATTCTAATGTCACAAAAAGTTGAAAATAATGGAATAAATAATAAAGATCAATGTAGAGACATATCAAAAACTTTCCAACATATGTTACTAAGTGAAAAGGCAAGTATGGCTCCCTGTAATTCTATATATCTATCTCCAAAAAGAAAAACAAACACTGAGCTGGTAGCAGTGGTGTTTCTTTTTCTTTTTCTTTTTTTTTTTTTTTTTTTTTTTTGAGACGGAGTCTCACTCTGTCACCCAGGCTGGAGTGCAGTGGTGTGATCTCAGCTCACTGAAACCTCCACCTCCCAGGTTCAAGTGATTCTCCTGCCTTAGACTCCTGAGTAGCTGGGATTACAGGCGCCCGCCACCACGCCTGGCTAATTTTTTGTATTTTTAGTAGAGACAGGGTTTCACCATTTTAGCCAGGATGGTCTCGATCTCCTGACCCCATGATCTGCCCACCTTGGCCTCCCAAAGTGCTGGGATTACAGGGGTGAGCCACTGCAACTGGCCCTGCAGTGGTGTTTCTAGAAGATGCAATCATTAGGACTCTCACGTCCTATGTTATCTGTCCTGAAATGCTTGAAACTCGTTTGCAATGAATTTTTGTATATTACTTCTGTAAACCAAAGAAGAATAAGATAACCAAAAAAAGAAAATCTCTTAAAGAACTGGGGGAAAAAAAGTGAGATATGACCACATGAACAGCTCTAGGGGTGGCCCAAGTATGTAGTATCACATTTTAGAGTCCACTGCAATAGCCTGGTTTATCTATCCCCAGCACCAGCAGGTGTCTTGCAAAATGAGCCATCAATGTCCTAGACAGCTGAAAGTAGCTGTTTGAGGGTAGCTTTCATTAACATTTGACAAACACAAACCAGCTCCATTTCTGGCCAGGTGGTGTGCTAGGCACAATGGAAGTAGTGAGATGCATCAGAAATGATCTCCAGTATTAAATGGGGCGTGGTGTCATGGGAGAAGCTTCCCTTTCTTAGTGTCAGAACACTGGTTTTCTTCAGAATGGCAGCACACCCAGCTAAAAGACCCCATTTGCTAGTCTTTCTTATGCTAAGAAAGATTGCTTTAAGAGAGCTGATTTAGCCTAAAGAAGGTATTTTTTTCCCCTCTCTTCTGCCACTCTGGGACACGGATATGATGGCTGGTGCTCCAGAAGCCATTTTAGACCATTAGGAAAGCTTCTGTCCAGAAGTCACAGATGGAAAAAGACAAAGGAAAGTGACAGGACTATGTGTCCCTGATCACACCTTGGACCTACTTATGACTGATCAGTGAGCCTTTTTTTGCTTGTGAGAGAAATGTATTTCTATCCTGCTTCTGCTATTGTTACTTAGAAGTTTTCTGCTATGCAGGCCAAGTCTCAGCCTCGGTGATACTGAGGCAGGAAAATAGGGTCTGGAGGCAGGGAATATAAGGCCGATTCACACTTCAGCTATGACAGGAAATATCCACTCCATAGGGCGTACGCCGTAGATGACTTTGTAACTTTACTTCATGCTCTTCATTTACATAGGGCATACTCCAAGTAGAGGGTATTTAAACTCCCCAAAATTCTGGAACGGGCCTTTGAGCCCCTATGCTCAGGACTGCTCCAACACTGTGGCGTGTACTTTCATTTTCAATAAATCCATTCATTCCTTCCTTGCTTTGTTTGCACATTTTGTCCTATTCTTTGTTCAAGATGCCAAGAACCTGGACATCCTCCACTGGTGCCAATACTGTGCCTTTGGCAGCTGCCCCTCATGCTGTGTCAGTTATGTCGGTCCTTTGAGGACATACAGACCAAGAAAAACATGGTTTCCAGTTTTCCTTTGGAAAAAAAAAAAACTCTGAGGAAGAGCTTTGAACTGGAATGGGCATAAAATTATATTGTACCCCAGATTCCCATCCTGCAAAATAAGGGTAGCAGTGGAATAAGTTCCTCCTTTAATTTCCTATGGTAGATTATTCTGGAAAGTGTTTAGTCCCAACGGTGTCTCCTTACACATTGCTTATCTGCAGCTCACCCACACTGTATTAAGAGAAGGGCTGTGTGTGTGCGGGAAATGCAAACTCAAGTGGCATCCTGGGCAAAACAAGATTAGGAGAGCGAATCTCTTGCAAAGGCAAGTCACGATGCTCTCCACAACCCGGTGTCAATGATGTCCAAGTCACCTTCAGGCAGCAGGCTCACCATGCTCAGATCACCTGCCAGTAACAGGGCCCAGCCTCTGAGAGGTCTCCTGAACCTCCACAGCACCCGCTCTGTGCTCAGCAATGCGATACCTGTGGAAGGATTGCCCAGGTGGCAGACATGGTTCCAGTCTTACTGAAGCAAACAAGTCATCTCTGTGGAAGTGGCTGTTCAGCATAGTATGGGTCCAAGCTAATGCAGTGTCCTCAGGCCTCAGAAGCCCAGGGTAGAATGAAGTCCACACTTGCCTGGCACCCATTTCTCCCAGCCCCACTCCTGTTTCCCAGATGGGCTCTGCCACAAAGCCAGCCCCTGGACCCACCTCAGCTGTAGGCTGGGATCCACGGCCCGCAGGCTGTGGCGCAGGGCATGGCCTAATCCCCTGAGAACGCTGCTGCACCGAGAGCACACAGCCCTGCGTGGTGCGTCCCCCCAGGGTCCCAGGCAGAATGGATGAGTGTGGATGGGGCGAGGAAGTGTGCACAGGCTGAGGGCAGGGCCCCTCACCACCACTTAGTGTCCCAAACTGCCAGTTGGGCCTGGACATGACACTGCGCGCCTTTCCCACCAGCTCATACCTCTTTCCTGTGTGGAGATCAAACATCGTGTCTGGAATTGATTGGGGTATGCACTCAAACCCCAGCCTCCATTTCCCTGCCTGAACTCCTTGTCTCTCCTGGGCCTTTGTCTGTCAAACTCTTCCTTCTCTCCTCCCAGCAGCAAACGAAGCCCTCATTATCAGCCGCCTAAATGACGTCTGAAGGGAGCTGCAGCAGCAGTGATAAGGAGAAGTCATCTCGGGCTCGGCCCCACTTGCCCAGCAAGGAAATAAACGAGCTTTCACTTCTCTCCACAGCCCAGAGCAAACCACTCCACATAAGGGGTGATGACCATGTCTTAATCCTCTCGGAGCTCCTGTGTCTAAGAAGATGCCTGGCACACAGCTGGCTGCCGGGGGAAAAGGGAGGGAGGAGGGAGGAAGACAGGGAGGGAGCTCCTCTGATACTAACTTCTATTTGGGGCCCTTCTGGAAACAGGCACAGAGGGCAATGAGGGGAAATAGAGGCAGAAATGCCGTGACCTGCCCGGCTCAATGGTAACCTGCAGATGGTCCTCTTAGGTGTGACAGATTATCAGTGACCTCCTCTCACAGAATGACCTACGCTCCTTGGCCCTCCTCTTCTCTCATGCTAGTCCTGCAAAGTCCAATACAGTAGTTGCTGGCCACCAGCGGCTATTCAAATTAACTGCTATGAAATGAAATTGAGAACTTAGCTCCTCCGTTGCTCCAGACACATCTCTAGTGCTTGCACGGGGCTAGCTACTATCATACTGGTGCTATCTTATTTATGATAAAGGTGCACCTGACTATATACTGAGGGCTGTGATAGTACACGCCAGAAACCATAGTACTATATGCAAAAGTGCATTGTCACAACAGGTTCACAAAGCCTTGTTTTGTCTTCGCCTTCCATAACTGTACAAGCTCACTCCTTCATCTCCACCCCAAAGAGGAAGGGGTGCAGAGGGAACAGGCCGTGCAGAGCACACGGGAACTCAACGGAAGTCAGCACCCCAGGAGCAGTGCAGGCACCTGGCATAGAACATCCAGGCTGCGGGTCTCAAGTCGGCACTGCTGACGTTTGGGACATTAGTCGTGGGGACTGTCCTGTGCACCGTGGGATGTTTAGTCATTCCTGAACTCCACACTGGGTGCCAGCAGCATTCTCCCTCCCCTGATTGTGACAGGCAGCAGTGTCTCAGACTTTGCCAAACGTGCCCTGGGTGAGGACCACTGCCCTCCATGTCCTCCTGAGCGATTCTCACAGTTCTTGTGGAGCTCAGCTCTGTGCCTCCTGCCCTGGACTCTTGCCTGAGACTCAGCCCCATATGTGCAACATAAACTTAGCTATCGAGCTGAGTTTAAACGTCCTCACCCCCTCTCGACACACAAACATTCTATTTTGCTTACAGGAAGATTTACCTTTTTACAGATTGTTTTGTGTTGTTCATGATCATAAAGAAACATTTGATGTACCCATCTTTTATTTCTTCCACTTTTCTTTTAAAATTTAAAAAAAGTTAATAACCTCATTTTTAAGTTGCAGTAAAATACACATAAAATTTACCATCTTAACCACTTGAATTTACAGTCCAATCATATTAAATATATTTAAATTGCATACACCATGTCTAGAAAGCTTCATGTCTTGCAGAACTGACACTCTGTACCCCTTGAACACCAACTCCCCGCTCCTTCCTCTCCTCAGCCACCATTCTACTTTCTGTCTCTGTGAATTTGTCTACTCTAGGAACCTCATGTAAGTGGAATCATACAGTGTTTGTCTTTTTGTGTCTGGATTATTTCACTTAGCATAACATCCTCAAGGTTCATCCATGATGTATCATGGGACTGGATTTCCCTCCTTTTTAGGGCTGAATAATATCCCATTACATATATGGACCACATTTGGTTTATTCATTCATCAGTGGACATTTGGATGGCTTCCAGCTGTTGTCTATTGTGAGTAATGCTACTATGAACACAGATGTGCGGACACCTGTTTGAATACCTGCTTTCAATTCTTGTGGGTGTATACTCAAAAGTGGAGTTGCCGGATCCCATGATAATTCCATGTTGAATTTTTCGAGGAAGCACCATATTGTTTGCCACAGAGATGTGTGTGACATTCCCATCAACAGTGCAGAAGGATCCCAGTTTCTCCACGTCCTCTCCAGCACTTGTGATTTTCTGTCCTTTGGTAGTAGCTGCCTTACTCCGTTCAGGCTGCCATAATGGAATACCATAAACATGGGGTTTCCAGGATATTTGATTGGAGAAAATACCTTATGATATCGTTTGGTTGTGTCCCCACCCAAATCTCATCTTGAATTGTAGTTCTCATAATCCCGACATGTCGTTGGAGGGACCCTGTGGGAGGTAATTGAATCATGGGAGTGATTACCACCATGCTGTCCTCATGATAGTGAGTTCTCATGAGATCTGATGGTTTTATAAGCATCTGGCATTTTCCCCTGCTTGCTCTCACTCTGTCCTGCCACCCTATGAAGAAGGCGCCTGCTTCTCCTTTCCCTTCTGCCATGTTTGTAAGTTTCCTGAGGCCTCCCCAGCCGTGCAGAACTGTGAGTCAATTAAACCTCTTTCCTTTATAAATGACCCAGTCTTGAGCAGTTCTTTATAACAGCGTGAGAACGGACTAATATACCTTACAAGGAAATTTACAATTGTCCACCACACGCCAACGGAGGCAAAGGCAAGCTATCTGGGCCTGTTTTACACAACTGGAGTCAGGTGCCCAGTGAGTCAGATGGGATGCGTTTGGTTACAAGAACCAGAACACCTTGTGGCAAAAGCAACAAGGAAGATAGGTTAACACACATGAAGAAGTCCAGACATGGGAGTCCCAGAGTTAGTTGACTCAGTAGATTGACAAGTTCAAAAGTTCAGGTTTGTGTCTCAGCTTTGCTTGGTTTTCTTCTTGGGACTTCAGTTCTGGCAGCTGGCCCTGTCCTGTTGGTGAATTTCAGATTGGACACATAGTCTTACCAAAATGATGGGTATAAAGATAAAGCAGCTGAAATTTCAGACACATGCCACACCTGGCCTGCAAAATTCAGAGGAATATCCGCTTTGCTTCCTGGCTATGTTGGGTCATGAGCCAACTCACCCCATGAATCCAGCCTGTCTCAGTAACCCACCCCAAACTTTCTCTGCAAGAAGGCAGGCCACCTCAGACTATCAGCCCCTATTAATCAGATATAAACTGTTCATTGACTGTGCGAGCTCAACTGCACTGTGTGGAAATTTGTGAGGGGCTTGGAAGCAAAAGCAACAATGACTCTTCCAACAAACAATTATTGAGTGTCTACTCTGGATAATTCTGTGCTTGGTACTATGCACACAAAGATGCAGAAGATGTAATTGCGACCCTAGCTCAGAGATTACAGTCAACAAATGCTGGCTCCCTCTCCAGCCAGCTCCCCTACCTGGATAGTCCGGTTGAACACAAACTGAGTAGATTCCTCTCCCAAAGGCCTATCCCTAGTTTGTCCCTGTGATCACCAGACGTTTGCCTCATATTGAATTCATGACAGATGATTGGCCTGGGAGAGGGTGAGAAGAAAGTGACATTTCTTCAATTTTTTCATGCAAGGTTACAAACACATTGAACACAGTGTTATCCCCTTCGCACACCAGCGGTCAAGTGACAATGCGGGGCAGGTCGCTCCACGGGCCGCTAGGCATCTTCCTGTGACCTCCTCTGGCCAGAGCCCCTGGGTGCCACCACTGCACAGAAACACGTCTTCAGATTTCTCCCCCTATTGGCATGTGTCAACTGCGGTCAGTCCCGTACGTCTTGCCAAGAAGTAGTTGCAAAACACGAATCTGATTGATCTTATCTGTTGGTAGAAAAAAAATCAGTGCAGTGCAGTGCTTGTGGGAGAAACTTCATTTTGTATAAGATCAGGGAGGTAAGCATTTCAGTCCATGTCTTTTTTTTTTTTTTTCATCTTTTAATTTTTCCCTCAGTGCACATGCAGGGAGGCGTCTGTGTGGCTCCTTTAACTGCCATTTCATTTCTGTTTCTGGAGTCCACAGTTGGAAGGAGGGAGTCAGGGAACTTCATTTTAGATAAAGAAAGGGGAAAAGTTCCCCTGAGAGCTCTCCCACCCTCCCAGAGTGTCACTCTCCCTTCCCGAGTGCAGGCAGGACATCTGTGTGCCACAGATGTCTGCAGCCAATTACATTTAATCAGGGCAGACCAAGAGGGCACCATTTTCCTATCAGAGATCTAAACGTGTATGAAAAGTGCAGATCTTGCAGAGGTCCAAAACGAATGTGATGTGGGTTTTTAAATTTTGCTTTGTTTTGTTTTGTCTTACTTTATATACACTATTTAACCCTTAGCTGATGTGATGATCAAGTGACAGAAACCCTCCGTCAGAAACCTGAGTAGCCAAGATTGATCCAGGCAGCTGTCCCTGGAGAAGTGGCCTGAAGGGAGGTAAAAACACATTTCTTTCACTGTACCCACAACCACAATCCAATAATGCAAACATCAACTCAAGAGACACATTAGAGGCATTTTACTCACATCCCTAACCAAGGCACCAATGTTATAAAGTATTTCAAAGTCAACCTTCCATACTTCTATCTATTCTTGCAACGGATGTTACATTTACTGTGGTTCTTGTTCATTCTGGCAGTGTTTACTAACTGCTGAGCAGGTGCTCCTGTACTGTGTTAGAGATTATATTCTCAAAGCTCATGTGCTTGAAGGGCTGACAGCATTTTACAGAGACAACATATAAACATATAAATACTGGGGCTGGGTGTAAGATAAGGTATGAAGAAAGCTATGACTCCTGCATCCCAGTCTGGGCCAGATGGGGAGGCTTGACTGGGAAACATTTCCTGATGGAGCTCAATAGACTATTTGGGACATCACCACCAACCCCCCCACCGCCGCCCCCCCGGGCTTTCTCCCTGTCCAGGTAAAAACTCCAAATATATAACTCCCCAAACTAGGAGAGGTCTCCAATTCAATTACAGTAATACACCCTGAATGGCATTCCCAGCTGTCATTTACACACACACACACACACACACACACACTCTGCACATATGATACAAATTCTCATTTATACAACATTATTCCTCATAGTCCCCCTGTAGACTGCACAATTGTTGATGGTTCTTACTGCCAACTTGGGTTTCCCATAATTATTTTAACGCATTACTCTGTGCCTTCAGTTCTTCATCCATTTCCTCTGGCATAGCTCACACTAGCCCAGCAACATCCCTCCCTTTGCTCCCACCCTGACCTGCCACCCCCACGCTTCTCCTGCAAGGAGGCTGCTCTCTTCACTCACACGTCTTGTAAGTGTCACAGGTACTATTTAAGGACTTTGAATGTGGGATAACTGGGAGTTCAAAAGAATCTTCCCACCCTGAGCCCTTTTCGATCATTCAGGCAACTGTTAAGATTCCTACTGAGTCATATACTTCTTAATATCCTCCAGTTCCCAAAGCGCCACATGTCTCACCTCACCACTTGGATTCCTTTCATCAAGCCTATCTCTCTTCTAGGAGTCTACATGCAAATGTCTTCTCTTTCTGGACTTAGTACATTGGTGTAGATCTGAGATCACCAATATCTTTAATTCTTTTTCAAAGAATCTCCCACCTGGTCCTGGATTCCTGTCTTGGTCAATTTTCTGCTGCTATAACAGAATGTTACATGTCGGGTAACTTTTACAATTCTGGAGCTGGGAAGTCCTATATCAAGGTGCTGGCATCTGGTGAGGCCCTTCTTGCTGTGTCATCCCATGGTGGGGGATCTCTTTTTCTCTTCTTATAAAGCCATGACTTTATAAGTCATGGAGGCCCTGCCCAGATGACCTTACCTAATTCTAATTACATCCTCAAAGGCCCCACCTCCAAAAAGCATCAACACATGAATTTGGAGATTAAGTTTCCAACACTTGAAATCTGGGGACACATTCAAACCATAGCAACCTCCCAAAAACTTTAGCCACTGATTTAGTTGGAAGGCATCTGGTTGCAAGCAGCAGAAAATTCACCCATCAGTGACCTAAAACAAAAAGACATATTTTTATTTATTAACAAGAAGTCCTGTCCTAGAGTGGGTGGCCCAGGCTTAGTTTCATCATGACTTTTTTCAAAGACTCAGGTTCAATTTTCCCATTTTGCCAACCTCAGAGGATGGGAGCTGCTCCCCACCTTGATTACAGAATCACCATAGGGGTTCTAAGCGTTGGGTATTCACATGACAACACCCAAAGTTTGAGCAACCTCCTTTCTCATCATGTAGGGAGAACTGTTGCCAAAGCCCCTTCCCTGCCCAGCGTACTTCACTTAGATTGTATTGGCCAGAAGTGATTCACCTCCCCATGCCTACAGTGATCACTGGCACACGGTGGTTGCCATGATTTACTTAGATAAATTATGGCTGATCCTCTGGGTTGAGCACATTGCCAACTCCTCTTTCTGAAAATTGGAATTGTATGAGAAAATGAGAAGGGAGAATAGCTGTCAGGAGGCAACCGATCATGTTTGCCACAGTTGCTTTCTCAAAAAGTTATCTAAATATAGCAACGTTGAACACAAATCTAGTATCTGACCTGAAGGCTTCATGTCCACTCTTTGCCACAGCATCTCTGTGGAAGACTAGGGCAGTTACCCATGTCCTGCAATTCCAACACTCTCCTAAAACATTCTCTACCCCTCTTTTCAGCCCTACCCTTTAAGTGGAAGTTTTTTTAAAGTACTTTTTTAAAAAAATCAAGAGAATAAGAAAATATCATTTGGATTTGTTTAATAAAATTAGGGAAGATGATTGGCAGCATTGGTATAATTCTAACAATATTATTCTGATGGAGGATCCATTTACTTAGTCATCCTTATTTGGATATAACAGATACTCTGGCATCAACACAGTGTCTCCATATCTGTGTTAGTTAAATGCATTAGTACAGTAATAAAAGTTGGAAAAGTCTTTCCTGACTCAAGCATGTTTACTACCATCTCTGGTACCATGTGAAGGGTCTTTCTACAAGGAGGCAGTGACTCTAGATCCTACTGGACCTCCAGGAAAGGAACAACTAACTGTGCTCAGAGCTGGTCAGGGAAGGCTTCAAAGAAGAGCTATGTTTTCCACTGATCTTGAAGGATGAGCAGGAATTCACTGCAGGGGAGAAAGAGAGAAGGGTATTCCAGGCTGAGGGACAAGACACAAAGGCACCAAAGCATGAAGAGTGTGGCAGATACTGGGCCAGAGCAGTCAGGAGACGTGAGCTTCAGGCTGGGAAAAGAGGATCATAGAGGAGGCTGAGAAGGTGGGTGGAGGGCAGACTCTGATGGGCCTAGGCACGTTGTCGTAGTCTGTGCTGCTATAACAAAATATCTGAGACTGGGTGATTTATAAAGAACAGAAATAGACTTCTCACAGTTCTGGAGGCTGGTAAGTTCAAGATCAAGGCAGAGGCTTCTGGTGAGGACCTTCTTACTTCATCCTCACACGGTGGAGGTGGGAGAGCCAGAGGGACTACTGCTGTGCCCTCACATGGCAAAAGAGTGAAGAGAGTGACCCGTGCCCGCAAGCCCTTTTATAGCAGCACTAATCCCTTCATGAAGGCAGAGCCCTTATGGTGTAGCCATCTCCCCAAAAGGCCCACCACACAACACTGTTGCATCGGGGAGTAAGTTTTCAGTACATGAATTTTTGAAGTGGACAAAAACATTCAAATCACAGCATATGCCAAAGCTTGAACTTTAAATTACAAAGAATAGGAGCAATGAAAGATTCTTGAGAAAGTAAGAGACATAGCCAATCTGACCAGTCTTTTGCAGGCAGGAAGGTTAAGATGGGTTAAGAGTCTCCCAGGTTCCATGATTATATGACCTGCTGAGGTCTGAAGAATTTATAGTATGCTGTTCATACTGTGTCCCGGTAAGAACTATTCCACTTAGTACACCATGGTAATTGTTTACAGGCTGAAACTAGTTGAAATTGCTTATATTTGAGAAATCATTGGCCTTCCTGGCTTAATTTAAAAGCAAACAAAACAAAAAACCTAACAGCAAAGCTATAAAACTGCATGACCAGCAAAGCTCAGAAAAAGTCATGCATAAAATCAATAAATTCTAATCTTTTATAAGTAACATATCCCTTCTGAATACTGGGTTAAAGGAGAGTGGGAGAGAGGTTTTGGGTCTACTATTAAGGTAATCATATAAAAACAGATGTAGGAAAGTGGCTATCCATGCAAGAATAGTTATATAAATACAAATGCCTACTGATATGCAACACTGAATTTCATGTACACCTAACAGTCCTGTGAAATGTTCACATTGTCTAAATTCCAGGACTCTGTGAAGCTGCACTTTAAAACATCATATTACTTAAAAATGAAAAAGAACTAGCAGATTTCTTGCCACTCTAATAGTCTAGGTTAGAGGTGACAGACAGCTTCAGCACTCAGGCAAGATCAATTGATTCAACTGCATGGGAAAAAATTCCAGGACTATGTTGGGATCAGGGCAGAGGAGTGGGATGGAGTAGAGGTGCTGGCACAGGTAAGGATAGCCAGGCATCCCCATGATCACCATCCTTGCCCTCCCTGGCTGAAGCTGTACCCTGGATGGTAGGCTGAATCATTACCTGACAGATCAATGTAACTCCTCAAGTTCCAGATTTTACCCTATCATTGAAAAAGAAAACTCCCAGCTCTCCAAATTTTCCAACCCCATTAACCTAATGGACATTGCTTCAAAACCCTGACACTCATTTCAAATCAGCAGAAAAAAATAAGTCTGTCAAGCAGTGAAAGAATAATAATGATCAGTTATGGTACGCCTACTGGGTGCTGTGTGGCAGGTGCCAGGATGAGCTCTTTGCCTATGTCCTCCATTCGACCTTATAGCAATCCTGTTATTACAGTGGCATTATCCCCAATTTACAGGTAAGAAAATATACTACGGAGCAGTTAAGGAAGTTGCGTAAGTCACATAGCTGAAGAGTGGTAGAGCCAGTAGAACACAGGTCTGCCCATCTGCAAAGCCTGGCCCTTCGCTACTTCAGCACACTTCTTGAACAGGGCAGGAACAGCTGTTTAACCCACTGGGAAACACGCAATTTAAAGGAAATACACTAAGAAGTCCTACTTCATAGCCCATGCCCAAAGTATGTCTCACTTTGACATGGAATCTTCTAGAATGTAAGGCAGGGCCTTTGTCTGCCTTGCTTCTTTAGTGTCCTTGTCCCTAGGAGAGGGCCTGACATAAAATAAGTACATTCTACCAGGAGTAAGGAATTCTCAGACCCAAACATGCCCCTGGCATAATTTGCTTCCTTTAGCTGAGAATGCCACATTTGGCCACTTTTATCCCATGTCAGCCTTTGATTCAATTACAAGAAATGATGTAGCCCAGTTTCCATAGAGAATTTTCTAGCTTAAAAGCACAACAAAGATGCAGCATAATCCAGCCAGAGTCAGAGTGCGCAATAACCATCAGAACAGAACCTACCCCTTCCTTAGGTGTCACTGAGCCAGCTTAGAACAGAGACTGGCTGCTTCCAAGGTGCGAGGGACGGGCTACACACACAGCAGCAGGGAAGCTAGGGCCCCTGGGGTCTTTCCCGGCAAGTTTCATCACCACAGATCAGAAGTGGTCAAGAGACACAGGGCAGCTCAACCTGTTGGCGATTATTGTCTGGTTTTACAGCTGCCATAAAACAAAACTGATGAAATTCAGCAAACATTCCCATCACAGAAGTCACCATCTCCACCTCAGGGCACTCCAGCAAGGGTGTGAGTGGCGGGAGGTTAGGGGAATGGGCATGGGAGAGGAGCAGGTCCGGGTCTGTGGAGGGTGGTCGTCAGGGTTGCGTTGATAAAGGAAGGAGAGGAAAGAGTTCAGCCTTGCAGACCTTGTGGTCCTGCTTGATTCAGTCTGGCCTCCTCACCTGAGATGATTCTTGGGTACACTTGCATCATTTTAAGCCTAACTCTCAACTCTAGGCCCTTGTCCTTCACTCTCCCCAGTCAGATCAAAGACTGGTTGAGAAGGGGACCTTTGCAGCTTGCTGTATAAGAGGCAGTGAGTGGCGTACAGTACCAAGAGCAGGGTCTTTGGAAGGTCCAGGGGCCTGCAGCTTCCCTCAAGGTGCAAGGGCTGGGGAGACACAGGTGGGAAGTGAAATCCCAGCTCCCTGTTTCCTCACTCTGAGCGTCAGCTTCCTCCTCTGTAAAATGGGGCTGTTTTGGGAATTAACAGAGAATTTAAAAATCACCACTAATTGTCTGTGTGATTTGGGACAAGTTGTTTAACTTCTGTGCCTTAATTTTTTTGTCTGTACAATGGGGACAGTGACAATGCTCTTTCCTAGCTCACAGCATGAAGGTTAGGAGCTGGGTAACATGAATAAAAGGGCGGTGTAACTTACAGATCATTGCAGCACTGTTGGGATAGGCATGTCCATCGAGAGTCCTAGGGGCTGAAGCTCATTTCTCTGACCTTGGTTCCTCATTCTGCCCAGCCCTCCTTTCCTCCTGGACCCCTCAACTCCTGCCCTACAGCCAGGCAGTATGGGCCCTGCACAACCCGCCACATCCTGCACTGTCCGTCCTGCACACCGCTCACATCTGGCCACAGCTAGCTCGCTCAGCGTGGCAAAGGAGCAGAGAACGGACAGCGATGTTCCTCAAAGGTTTCTCTGTTGGGAGGTGTGGGGGAAAGGGGAGGGCTGCAACCCTGTGCCTGAGGCCTGCGCCCTGAGTAAGAGAGGTGGGGAAAGGGTGCAGCGAACTCCTGACCAATGCTGGCTCGGTCAGGAAGTTTGTCCTCTGAGGACCAAGAACGTGCCTGGCCAGAGGCACATGAGGGAGAGAACGAGGGACCACAGTGGCAACCTGGACACCTGTCAACCCCATGCTGCTGATGTCAGTGGATTCCAGAGAGCTAATGAAAGAAAAAAAAGCTCATTCAGCTTGGCATAAAAATATGAATAAATCACTGCCACCGATGAAGTTTGCTTACCACTTCCGGCTACTTACCATGTATACAAACATCTCGTTACTGAATTAATGGTAACACAGGATTTATTTCACCACAGCACTTAGCTCCATGATTGTCCTGCCTGCTGATGCCCTGACACGGTGTCATCTGCTCATTCAGGGGTGTGTGCAACCTCTGAGTTAGCAGATCTCAACGGTGTTTCTCAACTTTTTAGGCATTTGATTTCTAATCACCTACACCATGACATTTTAATACCACAGATGTACTACATATCTGTTACATACTGTGTTTGTGTATATATACATACGATTTATACATTAAAAGATTAAGATTTTCTTTTGTCCCCTGATGACCAATGCTCTTCTTCTTGCGGGGGTGATATTGTCCCCACTGAGAATGCATTATCTGCACAATGCTCACCAATGGCTGTTAACGTCTCAAAAAAAGAGACACCAGGCGTTATGAGACTCCTTTTGGAAATCTTACGAAACAACAACAGCAGGAACACCCAACAATTACCTAAATCTGATCAAGCTTCTAGGTCTAGCTACCAGTTTACAGGAAAAAAATGGAGCACTGAGGAATGTGTTCAATAGCACCACGGGGATGAAATCAGCCAGACTATGGAAAACTCTATCAGGCAAACAACGTTGTTTTTCCAACAGGTAAACTGCAAGGGAAAAAGTGGAGAGAAGGAACCCATAGATTAAAGCACTTCAGAGGCACATCAGCTACCACCTGCTAGCACGCAACTGCAGCTTATGAGACCTAGTGGGATCTGATTCAGCCAAACTTTGAAAGTATGCACGAGCCAGAAAAAATAACATAAACACAGACTAAACGATGCTATTATATAGTTATTATTAATTTATAGGTGTAAAAATGATATTGTTATCTTTTAGACATACATACTGAAATAGTAGTGAATAAAATTATTAAATCTAGAATGATTAAATCCAGGGTTTGTTTTGAAATAATCCTGAATGAGGGGGAAGTGTGTGGAGATACAGATAAAACAAGATTGGGCATTTAGTTGATCGTTGTCGAAGTTGAGTTTCGGACACACGAGGTTCATTGTACGACTCTCTTTAATTGTGCACACGTTTGAAATGTTCCATAATTAAAAGTTAATGAAAAATAATTAGGTTGCCACCCAGCAGTGTCATCTGGGGGAGCCATCTGGACTCACCAACCACCTGCAGTGGATCCTTTCTGGAGATGGCGCCTGCCGTGAGCTCTTCTTCCCCCGTGCCATCCTCACCGTGGCATTTAACTAGTGTGAAGAATCACCGTAATGACACAGCCCCGGCAGAGGTTAAGCGGCCTTGCCACATAGGATTTATTCTGCAGGCCACATCTGGACAAAGGCCAAGGTATTCATTTCTTTCCTTTCCCAGAAAAGCTCAAACTGCCTTTTCCTATTTGTCCCCTCCCTTGTCACAGTGGGAAGAGCTTGGGTTTTGGAGTTAGATGAGCTTGCGTCAATCCCAGCTTTGCAAGTAGGGTCTAGGGGTCATGGGACCTTGTTTTGTAACTGCTGGAGCCTGGCTTCCCCATCTGTAAAAAGTGGAATGTCAGTGAAAGAAGGCTCTTCATTACTACTGATCACAACCACTCTGGCTGGCTTTCAGAACCTTATGAAAGGTTATTAGGTAGCTCTTCAAATCATCCTAGGTGTGTGTGAAAGGGTTGGGTTTGGCGGCTTCTCAGAGAGCAACCGTACCTGAGTGACACAGCTAGACTATCCCAGTAAGGCTGTGCCGCCACATGGCTGGAACCCGCCTGCCTCTGGCACCCTCTCCAGGGTTCATTCTTTGTGCTGCTTCCTTCTCCGTGGCCTCAGCATCTAAGAGGAAGACTCCTGGAGGTGTTGCGGATTGGCTGAGTTCAGGCCCCACACCAGCACCAAGATGCATGGGAGGAATCCAGGAACATGAGTTCAGACTTCCAACTCGGGACAGGTGGACTCCTGAGGTGGGGGAGACCCAAACACAGAGAGGATGTTCAAAAATGCAGGTGACCCATGACAGCAGGAAACGTCTACCATAGACATGGACCCGGAGCCTTTCCAGGGCCTCCATGCGCCTCACAGACTGGGTAAATTTCGTCCAAACACACCTTCCAGACCCTGTGGTGTCTGCAGCATCTCTCACTCTCTGGATGTTCCCAGATCTGACCTCCTTGGGCTCCCTAGACCACCACACCCCTGTGTCCTCTAACGCTCTGTCTGTTTTTATCACAAGACTCTGACTACAGAACCCAGCCCCCTGACAGTTTTGAATTAAAAAAGAAAAACAGAAATCTACTCGCATTAAGAGTTTCATGATTTATGTAGAATTTGCTGAAGATTTGGGGTGGTGGAAGGGGCCTTCTGTGTTCTCTTGTGCTCGCTCTCTGTCTTACTCTCGCTCTCTTTCTTTCTCATCTACCTTTTCTCCAGTTTCACCTGCAGAAGGTCCACTGTTCTTACTCTTGGAGAGTTCAGGGATCTACCTTCTAACCCAAGCAGTTTTCAAGGCATGATTTCTAAATAAGTGCAATTCTCTTCCTAGGTGGAAATTTAGTGACTACAATTTTCTTCATCTCACTACAGAGGACAATTGTGAGGATTAAATTAAGTAATGATTATAAAGTACTTACAGCATTGCAGATTCTCAGCAAATTATTAAAAGAAAACTTATCAAGTCCACTCAGTATGTGGGGAAAGCAGGATATTTGCATAATTAGCATTACTGGGAGTCTTGGTTGCAAAAAGTTGGTGATGAGCTCCAGGAGGCCTGGGTTTCTGTCACGTCATGAGATTTATGTGATATTTAGCAACTCAGGGATGGCTCCTTCCAGCTGAGCAAGAAGGAGCCTCTTTGTTTAGGGTGAAAGTAAACAGAACTCCTTGTCTTTAAATCAGTGAAGATGGAATGTTTGTAATGTCAACACCGTTCACTCTACCCTGCAAATGAACAGGAAAGTCAATCTGGCTAGTGAGCTCTGTCTGGATTTCGCAGGCTTCTATGAAAACTGCTTGCGCTGCCTCTGGGCTCCGACGCATGACGGCACGGAATTTCCCAGGGCTGGCCCCACTTAAGGGTCAGGCTTGTTTTGCTAGACCTGGTTTCCACTTGATCCTTTTCTTCAAGATAACTCACCTGCCCAGTGATAAACGTATGGCCCAGCGTCCACCCTCTCAAAAGCAATTTGTCTCTGGAATCCTCTCTTCCAAGCTGCCATAAAATCACTATGGGGTTTGCAACATGAGGGAGACTTGCTTTCTAATCTTCATAAAGGTTTTACCCCAAAGCTCTCCCATCTCGTCTGGAGCTGTTCCCATCATACCCCTCCACCTTCTCCTAATAAGCGCTTGGATTCCTACAGAGAAATAGCCAGCATTGCCCCATGTTGGACAAACAGCAGAGTCCGCCTCAACCAGAGACAGATCAGGCGCTAAGGAGGGCAGAGGCTGGAACATTTGGAGGCAATGTCGGGTCACTGTCGCTTTGCAATCCATTGCTCTGACAAGAATGCAAAGTGATTATTTTAAAAATCACTCTTGTATTGCTTTTTTCATGATCAGGAATTTAAAAAAATGAAAATATCAGCATATAAAGCTGCAACAGTCCTATACTCCCTTCCTCATAACCCTGCAACTCAGCATCTTCCCAGTTTAAGTTTAAACAAAAGAAAAGAGGGGGTGGGGGTGTTCTATTTCCTGAGAGCAATTCCTGGCAGGGCTGCAGCCTGGATATTCTGCCTGCTCTGGTGCAGACTGGCATCTATCCTAGGGCTCAAAGAGATGGCTTCAGAGCCGATTATCACCCTGTACCAGCCACCACAGATGGCATTAGCTGACCCTAAGCTGGGAGCAGAATTCAAAGAAGTCTTTTTTTCTGGGAGTGAGCTCCCAGAAGCTTGTGTTAATTGCAGGCACTGTGCCCTACAGGGGAAGACCCAGAGCTCTGGGGCTGGGAGCACCTGGCCTTGGCCAACCCCAGCCTACTCATCAGAGAGGTTGCTGCTGGCCCCACAGGGCCCAGAAGTCCAGTGCCTCTAGAAAATGCATCAGCCTCTGGTTGGAGATGAGAGGATTCCAAGATGTTCAAGGGTCTCTGGTGTCACAATGCACATTCTATTTACCATCCAACCATTTTAAAAGGGTAAACGCTTCCTGTTAATTTATACAATGCCAGGGAGTTTGATACGAGCTCAATGACTCAACTATCTCCCTGGTGTTTGTGCTCAGGGAACTTGTGAGGAACCTTGGGGATTCCTACAAGTGTGCTTGGAATCACAGTACTGGGCAGTAATATGAATAGTAGTACTAGTAGTAGTAACATCCGTGCCTGATGCTTTTGTAGAGATTGGAGGTACATAGATGAGGCAGGGAATACTTAGGGTAGACTGCATCTTCTGTGAGCTGTAAATGAATCTTGTTGTGGGCCCATTGCTCAGTCTTCACAACTACTACTTACCCAAGGGAGATGGAGAGAAGAAAGAAAAGCGGGGAGTAGCTACATAGAAAGCAGCTTGGAGAAGTGACTCACTCTCTCTAAGTCTGCTTCCTCATCCATGAAATGGGGTGATAACTACCTAACAGGGTGCTTGGGAGGATGAGATCAGGTGGGTGGGCATTCATCTAACAGATATCTCTTATGTGTCAGGCGCTGTTCTGTACAGAACAAATGAAGTCCATGACCTCATGAAGGCCATGTTCTAATAAGAATAAAAATGATAATTCATCAGGAGGCATAGCTGTCTTAAGTGACTGAATGTTAAAATACATGAAGGAAAAACTGATAAAAAATAAAAGGAGAAATAGAAAGTTCCAGGGTTGTGCTATGAAATTTGACAACTCCCTTCTACTATTGATAGAACAAATCAGGTTTTTTAAAAAATCAGTAAGGAAATAGATTTTACCAACATTATCAACTATTCTAACCTAATCAATATGTACAAAACACTATACTGTATAGAATACATATTCATTTCTTTCAAGTGCACATAGAATGTTTTCTAACCCAGACTCTATACTGGTTGATTAAATAAGTCTTAAAAATCGTCCAAAGCTTGAAATTTTACAAGATATGGTCTCTGACTACCATAGAATTTAATCAGGGATCAGTAATAAAATATCCAGATTATCCTCCCAAATACCTGGAAATTAAAAACCCATCTAAGGAACCCACGGGTCAAAGGGAAAATCACAAATGAAACTAGAAAGTAACTTCTAACTGGATGATATGAAAACACAAGACATCAACATTTCTGGGATGCAGCTAATGCAGTATGGAGAGGGAATTTTATAGCTTTAAAAGCCTATGTTAGAAAGGAAAAAAGGTTCAAAATCATGATCTAAGTTTCCACATTAAGAAGTTAGAACAAGAAGAGCAAGTTAAACTCAAAGTTAAGCAGAAATAAAGAAATAACTGGAAAAAAGCTGAAGTCAATGAAGTAGAAGACAAAGATTAATAATAGAGAAAATTAACAAAACCAAAACTCATTATTTGAAAAGATTTATGAAGTTGATAAGGCCCTAGAAATGCTAATCAAGAAGAGAAAACACAAATGATCGATATCAGAAATGAAAGAGCAAGTAGCATTAGAATGATAATAAGGGAATGTAGACACTAGAATGATAATAAGGGGATGTAATGAATGCCTTTATGCCAATAAAATGCATATCTCAGATAGAATGGAAACGTTTCTTGAACAAAACTAATAAAAACCATCTCAAGAAGGAATTGCACATATGAATAGTCTATATATTTAAGGAATTTAATTCATAATCTAAAACCTTCCCTGAAAGAAAACTCTGGGCTCAGATAGTTTCACTGATAAATATTAAATTTTAAGGAATAAATAATACCTATCTGATACAATCTCTTAGAAAACAGAGAGAAAATTATTTCATTCCATTGCTTTTTATGAGCCTGAAATAACCCTGATACCACACACAGACAAAGGCACTACAGGAAAAGAAAACTGCAGACCAGTATTCATCATGAACATAAATGTAAATATCAACAATACAATATGAGCAGATTAAGTCTGGCAGTGTATAAGAAAAGGCAATTCACCATGACCAAGTGAGATGGAAATACAAGGTTGTTGCAACATTTGAAAATCAATGCATGTAACTGACCACTCCAACAGTATAAATGAGAAAAATTATATCATCACCTCAAAATTTAACACTGAAATATTGAACATTTTCTCCTAAGACCAGAAACAAGCTAAAGATGTTGGTTCCTATTTCTATTCAATGTTGTACTGAAGTCTTAGCAATGAAAAAAGACAAGAAAAAGAAATAAAGGACATGCAGGAAAAGAAAAAGTAAAGCTATCATTTTTTGGAGATAATATAATTGTGTCTAGGTCAGTATATGAAAACATGTTTGTATTTTCTAGCAGCAGTATTGAAAAAGTAATTTTAAAATACCATTAATAATAGCATCAAAAACATAAAATAGGGATAAATTTAATAACATATGCACAAGACCTCTATGTAGACAATGAGAAAACATTGCCAAGAGAAGTTAAAAATATCTAAATACATGGAGAAATGTATATGATATTGATGAACTGCTAGGATGTTCATTTTTCCAAACTCATTTATAGATAAACACAATCCCAATTTCTTTTGCTAGAAATTGACAAGCAGATTCTGAAATTCATATAAAAATACTAATAATCTAGAATAACCAGGACAATTTTGAAAAACATAAACAAAGTTGAAGGGCTTGCACTTCCTGATTGTAAAACTTACTATAAAGTTACAGTAATCAATACAGTATGGTACTAGCATAAGAATAGGTATATAAATCAACGGAACAGAATAGAATCCAGAAAAAGACTCGTGCATCTGTGAGTAATTAATTTTTGATAAAGATGTCAAGGTCATTCAGTGGGCAAAGGATAGTCTTTTCAACAACCATGGCTGACAAAGTAGATGTTCATATTTTAAAAATTGAACTACAACTCCTTTTTCATCCCATATAAAAAGTTAATTCTATGTGAATTATAGACATAAAAATAAAAGATAAAACCATAAAACACCTAGAACAAAAACATAAAGCAAAATATTTGCAACATGGGCACAGGCAAAATTTTCTTACACAGGACAAAAAGCATTAGTCATATAAGGAAAACAATTGATGAATTGGACTTTATCAAAATTAAAATTTTCTGCTCTCTGAAATATACTGTTAAGAAAATGAAAAGTCAATCCATAGGGTAGGAGAAAATTATCTATCTATCCATCTATCTATCGATCATCTATATCTGGGAAAGGACTTGTATCCAGAATGTGTAAAGAACTCTTACAATTCAATAAAAAGTAGACTCAATTTTTTTAAATAGGCAAAAGCCAGTAGAGACACTTTGCAAAAGGAGTCAAATGACCAATATGAACACGAAAAGACGGTCAAGAAAACTAGTCATCCAGGAAATAAAAATTAAAACCACAATGAGATACCATTTCACCCCCAGTCACATGGCTAATACTGAAAAGATTGACAATATCAAGTGTTGATTGGCTGTGGAGCAACTAGAACTCTTTCTGGGGAAGATCCAGATATAGGGAGAGTATGAAGCCATTCCAGAGGCCCAGAGATAAGCTGGCCCCAAAAGATGGGGTGTTACATATATTCCTTTATTTTGGTCCACAACAACTGTTAAGAGGCAAATATTATTATTATTATTATTATTATTATTATTATCATTATTATTATTCCCTTCCTTTTAGGTCAAGACACTAATGGACAGGAAGCTTAAAGAATTGCCAGATAACTAGCAGAGCAGCAAAGTGATCTCAGTCAGTCTTTTGTTCCCAACTCTGTGCTGGTAACATCAGTGCTATAAACCCCTGACTCGGGATTTTTCCCCCTGAGGTTCCCCTCATGGTGTGTGACGGGCAGCACAATTGCTGGTGGAGAGCTAGTGTTAGATTGTCAGGCCAGCCAAAGGAGCAGTTTCAGGGCTGGAGTTCCATTCTAGCAAAGTGTGACTCTACTGAAAGGCAACCATTTAAACAAACACCTATTCCATATCGGGGCTTAATCAGGGCCAGGCCCTGTACTAGGAGTCAGGAACAGTACACGAACGATCTGTGCTCCCAGCAGGGCATTTAAATTGTATGTAAGATGGACTGATAATGTAAACAACCATTCAAACAAAGTCAGAATGTGCTGAAAGATGAGCCAGGTCCGCACTGTCTGTCAGTGGTTCTCACACTTGAGCATGCATTAGACTCACCTAAAGCAGAACTCCTGAAAACACAGACAGCTGGGCCCCACCCCCGAGAGGTTCTGACTCAGCAGGTCTGGGGTAAGGCCTGAGAATTTGCATTTCTAACAAGTTTCCTGGTGAAGATGCTGCTGCTGGTCTGGGTTGGGGTGGGGAGGGGGTGGGGGGGGGGGCCTCATTTTGAGAACAGCTGGTGCAAATGAATGGCTCTTCACCCTAGTTGTCTATTAAAATCATGTAGGATTTTAGAAAGGAGGCTTAGAAAAATAACTGGTGCTTGGACCCAGACTAGACTAACTGAAACTTTCTCTTGGGGATAGTGCTTTATCACTGGTAGTTTTTTAAAGCTTCTTAAGTGATTCTAATTTGAAATCAGGGTGGAGAACCACTGGGGCAGGTGCTACTTGGAGCAACCAGCTGTCTGGGTGGACTCAGGGCTGAGGGGTTTCTGAAATGCAAAACACTGAATGTTAAAACTTGAACAGTCCCAGGCAAAAAAGGATGAAGCCACACCCTGGATGCTACAGAGGGAATGTCTAGGCCCATCAGTGGTGCCCCTCCTCAGCTGATATGGATGTCGCCTGAAGAAGATTACATAATAATGAATGCTCCCAGAGATTGTAAATTAATTGAATTTTTCTGGGTACAGCTTGGCATCTGAAGTTTTAAAAGGTGCCTAAGAGATTCTAATGTGCAACCAAGGTTGAGAACCACTGGGCCAGGAGAAAGGAACAGGATGTTGGATTGAGGAATTACGACTTTATTGGTGACCTAAGATCAGTTTTAGAGAAGTGTTTTAAATACTAGCCATTTTTCAAAGGCCAGGGTACATAAATGTATGAGTATGGGGAGAAAGAGGAGACAGTCCATAAAAGACTCTTCTTTGAAAAGTTTGGCAGAAAGGAATAAGCATATTTGGGAAAAATTTCACCCTTCTTCCGTGGGTAATATAAAAATTTCCACACATATGGATTTTCAGTTAAATCTAACAATTGCCATTTGGGATTTTGTAGTGGCTGGCGCAGGACCCAGAGCACAGTATGCTGGGGTCCTGGCTGCATGGGAGGGAGTGGGCTTTGCAGGTGACTCTCTTGCGTCCATTCCCCTCTGCCCTCACTGTACAGCATCAGTGCAGTGTGAGGAACTGACTTTGCCTCCCCGAGTTGTTAACGGTGGTTTACTAATCCCCCTTTCCAGTGTTGGGTTTGGGAATCCAGGCCTAAGGGAGTTCATAAATAGGATTCCCACTGCAACAGATACTGGTCAGAAGCAAGAGAGTAACCAAATGTCCCAGGCAGACGAAGAGAAGATCCTTCTTCTATGGTTGGAGGAAAGACACTCTCCCACTGAAGGTGAGCCAACATGTAGCTAGGAATGCCACCAGCTGCCAGACAATACCCACAAGGGGGACACACCAGCCTGAGCTTGGACTGACAGAGGACATCCAAAGAGAAACAGGGAGGAACACAGTTCTTGAGAACATCATTGACCCACTGAAAGTCTGCAAGCCTGCTTTACTGCCAGATTTCTGGTTGTATGAGCTAAGGAAGAGATTTTGCATTGGCTTTTCTATTATTTGCAGCTGAAGACACCCAAATTGGTTTGTGCAGTCAGGGCAGGGTGCAGGGAAAAACAGCCCAGATACAGAGGTTGCTCTGTGAGGGCAGCCAGCCTTCCAAATGACGGTGCACAAGATAGGGCCAGCTCAAATGTGGTCCAGGAAAGTCCTTGGTGCTGGAAAGGCCAATCTTGTGGAATAGAGCACAACAGTAGGAAATTCAGGCCATGGTGAAATATCAGGAGCCAGGTTGGATGCAGGTGTGTTCTGCATGCCCCAGATCTACGCAGTAGGCACAGCCATTGAGTGACACAATCCAGCCCTGGGTGAGGGTGGAGGGTGGGGATTCTTGCAAGAGCTAGTAATTCCATGATGATATCTGCTGCAGTTTATTACAGCCTTGCCGTTTGTCAGATGTTGCTGAGTGCTCTACATGTATTATATGATTTTATTTTCTTTTTTCCTTTTTTTTAAATTATACTTTAAGTTTTAGGGTACATGTGCACAACGTGCAGGTTTGATATATAGGTATACATGTGCCAGGTTGGTTTGCTGCACCCATCAACTAATCATTTACATTAGGTATTTCTCCTAATGGTATCCCTCCCCCAGCCCCCACCCCTCACCCACCGAGAGGCCCCAGTATGTGATGTTCCCCACCCTGTGTCCAAGTGATCTCGTTGTTAAATTCCCACCTATGAGTGAGAACATGTGGTGTTTGGTTTTCTGTCCTTGTGATAGTTTGCTGACAATGATGGTTTCCAGCTTCATCCATGTCCCTGCTAAGGACATGAACTCATCCTTTTTTATGGCTGCATAGTATTCCATGGTATATATGTCCCACATTTTCTTTATCCAGTCTATCATTGATGGACATTTGGGTTGGTTCCAAGTCTTTGCTATTGTGAATAGTGCCACAATAAACATACGGGTGCACGTGTCTTTATAGTAGCATGATTTATAATCCTTTGGGTGTACACCCAGTAATGGGATCACTGGGTCAAATGGTAATTCTAGTTCTAGATCCTTGAGGAATCGCCACACTGTCTTCCTCAATGGTTGAACTAATTTACACTCACACCAACAGTGTAAAATCGGTCCTATTTCTCCACATCCTCTCCAGCATCTGTTTTTTCCTGACTTTTTAATGATTGCCATTCTAACTGGCGTGAGAGGTATCTCATTGTGGTTTTGATTTGCATTTCTCTGATGACCAGTGATGATGAGCATTTTTTCGTGTGTCTGTTGGTGGCATAGATGTCTTCTTTTGAGAAGTGTCTGTTCATATCCCTTGCCCACTTTTTGATGGGGTTATTAATTTCTTGCAAATTTGTTTGAGTTCTTTGTAGATTCTGGATATTAGCCCTTTGTCAGATGGGTAGATTGCAAACATTTTCTCCCATTCTGTAGGTTGCCTGTTCACTCTGATGGTAGTTTCTTTTGCCATGCAGAAGTTCTTTAGTTTAATTAGATCCCATTTGTCTATTTTGGCTTTTGTTGCCATTGCTTTTGGTATTTTAGTCATGAAGTCCTTGCACATGCCTATGTCCTGAATGGTATTGCCTAGGTTTTCTTCTAGGGTTTTTACGGTTTTAGGTCTAATATTTAAGTCTTTAATCTCTCTTGAATTAATTTTTGTATAAGGTGTAAGGAAGGGATCCAGTTTCAGCTTCCTGCATATGGCTAGCCAGTTTTCCCAGCACCATTATTAAATAGGGAATCCTTTTCCCATTTCTTGTTTTTGTCAGGTTTGTCAAAGATCAGATGGTTGTAGATGTGTGGTGTTATTTCTGAGGCCTCTGTTCTGTTCCATTGGTCTATATCTCTGTTTTGGTACCAGTACCATGCTGTTTTGGTTACTGTAGCCTTGTAGTATAGTTTGAAGTCAGGTAGTGTGATGCCTCCAGCTTTGTTCTTTTTGCTTAGGATTGTCTTGGCAATGCAGGCTCTTTTTTGGTTCCATATGACCTTTAAAGTAGTGTTTTCCAATTCTGTGAAGACAGTCATTGGTAGCTTGATGAAGATGGCATTGAATCTATAAATTATTTTGGGCAGTATGGCCATTTTCACAATATTGATTCTTCCTATCCATGAGCATGGAATATTCTTCCATTTCTTTGTGCCGTCTTTTATTTCATTGAGCAGTGGTTTGTAGTTCTCCTTGAAGAGGTCCTTCACATCCCGTGTAAGTTGGATTCCTAGGTATTTTATTCTCTGTGTAGCAATTGTGAATGGGAGTTCACAATTTTTGTGAAACTCCCATTTTTGTGGGAGTTCTCTCTGTTTGTCTGTTAATGGTGTATAGGAATGCTTGTGATTTTTGCACATTGATTTTGTATCCTGAGACTTTGCTGAAGTTGCTTATCAGCTTAAGGAGATTTTGGGCTGTGACGATGGGGTTTTCTAAATATACAATCATGTCATCTGCAAACAGGGACAATTTGACTTCCTCTTTTCCTAATTGAATACCCTTTATTTCTTTCTCTTGCCTGATTGCCCTGGCCAGAACTTCCAACACTATGTTGAATAGGAGTGGTGAGAGAGGGCATCCTTGTCTTGTTCTGGTTTTCAAAGGGAATGCTTCCAGTTTTCCCACTCAGTATGATATTGGCTGTGGGTTTGTCATAAATGGCTCTTATTATTTTGAGATATGTCCCATCAATACCTAGTTTATTGAGAGTTTTTAGCATGAAGCGCTGTTGAATTTTGTTGAAGGCCTCTTCTGCATCTATTGAGATAGTCATGTGGTTTTTGCATTGGTTCTGTTTATGTGATGGATTACGTTTATTGATTTGCATATGTTGAACCAGCCTTGCATCCTAGGGATGAAGCAAACTTGTTCATGGTGGATAAGCTTTTTGATGTGCTGCTGGATTCTGTTTGCCAGTATTTTACTGAGGATTTTTGCATTGATGTTCATGACGGATATTGGTCTAAAATTCTCTTTTTTTGTTGTCTTTGCCAGGCTTTGGTATCAGGATGATGTTGGCCTCAGAAAATGAGTTAGGGAGGATTCCTTCTTTTTCTATTGATTGGAATAGTTTCAGAAGGAATGGTGCCAACTCCTCTTTGTACCTCTGGTAGAATTCAGCTGTGAATCTGTCTGGTCCTGGACTTTTTTTGGTTGGTAGGCTCTTAATTATTGCTTCAATTTCAGAGCCTGTTATTGGTTTATTCAGAGATTCAACTTCTTCCTGGTTTAGTCTTGGGAGGGTGCATATGTCCAGGATTTTATCCATTTCTTCTAAATGTTCTAGTTTATTTGCATAGAAGTGTTTATAGTATTCTCTGATGGTAGTTTGTATTTCTGTGGGATCGGTGGTGATAACCCCTTTATCATTTTTTATTGCATCTATTTGATTCTTCTCTCTTTTCTTATTAGTCTTGCTAGTGGTCTATCAATTTTGTTGATCTTTTCAAAAAACCAGCTCCTGGATTCATTGATTTTTTTTAAGGGTTTTTTGTGTCTCTGTCTCTTTCAATTCTGCTCTGATCTTAGTTATTTCTTGCCTTCTGCTAGCTTTTGAATTTGTTTGCTCTTGCTTCTCTAGTTCTTTTAATTGTGATGTTAGGGTGTTGATTTTAGATCTTTTCTGCTTTCTCTTGTGGTCATTTAGTGCTATAAATTTCCCTCTACACACTGCTTTAAATGTGTCCCAGAGATTCCGGTACATTGTGTCTTTGTTCTCATTGGTTTCAAAGAACATCTTTACTTCTGCCTTCATTTCATTATTTACCCAGTAGTCATTCAGGAGCAGGTTGTTCAGTTTCTATGTACTTGTGCGGTTTTGAGTGAGTTTCTTAATCCTGAGTTCTAATTTGATTGCACTGTGGTCTGAGAGACAGTTTGTTGTGATTTCTGTTCTTTTACATTTGCTGAGGAGAGCTTTGCTTCCAATTATGTGGTCAGTTTTAGAATAAGTGTGATGTGGTGCTGAGAAGAATGTATATTCTGTTGATTTGGGGTGAAGAGTTCTGTAGATGTCTATTAGGTCTGCTTGTTGCAGAGCTGAGTTCAGATCCTGGATATCCTTGTTAACCTTCTGTCTCATTGATCTGTCTAATACTGACAGTGGGGTGTTAAAGTTTCCCATTGTTATTGTGTGGGAGTCTAAGTCTCTTTGTAGGTCTCTAAGGACTTGCTTTATGAATCTGGGTGCTCCTGTGTTGGTTGCTTATATGTTTAGGATAGTTAGCTCTTCTTGTTGAATTGATCCCTTTACCATTATGTAAAGGCCTTCTTTGTCTCTTTTGATCTTTGTTGGGTTAAAGTCTGTTTTATCAGAGACTAGGATTGCAACCCCTGCTTTTTTTTGCTTCCCATTTTCTTGGTATATCTTCCTCCATCCCTTTATTTTGAGCCTATGTGTGTCTTTGCACATGGATGGGTCTCCTGAACACAGCACACTGATGGGTCTTGACTCTTTATCCAATTTGCCAGTCTGTGTCTTTTAATTGGAGCATTTAGCCCATTTACATTTAAGGTTAATATTGTTATGTGTGAATTTGATCCTGTCATTATAATGTTTGCTGGTTATTTTGCCTATTAATTGATGTAGTTTCTTCCCAGCATTGATGGTCTTTACAATTTGGCATGTTTTTGCAGTGGCTGGTACCAGTTGTTTCTTTCCATGTTTAGTGCTTCCTTTAGGGACTCTTGAAAGGCAGGCCTGGTGGTGACAAAATCTCTCAGCATTTGCTTGTCTGTAAAGGATTTTATTTCTCCTTCACTTATGAAGCTTAGTTTGGCTGGATATGAAATTCTGGGTTGAAAATTCTTTACTTTAAGAATGTTGAATATTGGCCCCCACTCTCTTCTGGCTTGCAGGGTTTCTGCCAAGAGATCCACTGTTAATCTGATGTGCTTCCCTTTGTGGGTGACTCGACCTTTCTCTCTGGCTGCCCTTAACACTTTTTCCTTCATTTCAACCTTGGTGAATCTGATAATTATGTGTCTTGGGGTTGCTCTTCTCAAGGAGTATCTTTGCAGTGTTCTCTGTATTTCCTGAATTTGAATGTTGGCCTGCCTTTCTAGGTTGGGGAAGTTCTCCTGGATAATATCCTGAAGAGTGTTTTCCAACTTGGTTCCATTCTCCCCATCACTTTCAGGTACACCAATCAAACATAGATTTGGTCTTTTCACATAGTCCCATATTTCTTGAAGGCTTTGTTCATTTCTTTTCCTCTTTTTTCTCTAACCTTGTCTTCTCACTTTATTTCATTAATTTGATCTTCATTCACTGATACCCGTTCTTCCACTTGATTGAATCAGCTATTGAAGCTTGTGTACGCCATCACAAAGTTCTCGTGCCATGGTTTTCAGCTCCATCAGGTCACTTAAGGTCTTCTCTACACTGTTTATTCTAGTTAGCCATTTGTCTAATCTTTTTTCAAGGTTTTAGGCTTCCTTGCGATGGGTTCGAACATCCTCCTTTACTTCTGTCAACTTGTCAAATTCATTCTCCGTCCAGCTTTGTTCCATTGCTGGTGAGGAGCTGCAGATCCTTTGGAGGAGAAGAGGCGCTCTGATTTTTAGAATTTTCAGCTGTTCTGCTCTGGTTTCTCCCCATCTTTGTGGTTTTATCTACCTTTGGTCTTTGATGTTGGTTTTGGTGTAGATGACCTTTTTGTTGATGTTGATGCTATTCCTTTCTGTTTGTTAGTTTTTCTTCTAACAGTCAGGTCCCTCAGTGGCAGGTCTGTTGGAGTTTGCTGGAGATCCACTCCAGACCCTGTTTGCCTGGGTGTCACCAGTGGAGGCTGCAGAACAGCAAATATTGCAGAACAGCAAATATTGCTGCCTGATCCTTTCTCTGGAAACTTCATCCCAGGGGGCAGCCACCTATATGAGGTGTCTGTTGGCCCCTACTGGGAGGTGTCTCCCAGGTAGGCTACACAGGGGTCAGGGACCCACTTGAGGAGGCAGTCTGTCCATTCTCAGAGCTCAAATGCTGTGCTGGAAGAACCACTGCTCTCTTCAGAGCTGTCAGACAGGGACGTTTAAGTCTGCAGAAGTTGTCTGCTGCCTTTGGTTCAGCTATGCCCTGCCCACAGAGGTGGAGTCTAGAGGCAGTAGGCCTTGTTGAGCTGCAGTGGGCTCTGCCCAGTTCAAGCTTCCCAGCCACTTTGTTTACCTACTCAAGCCTCAGCAATGGTGGATGCTCCTTCCTCTGCCAGGCTGCGGCCTCGCAGGTCAATCTCAGACTGCTGTGCTAGCAGTGAGCAAGGCTCCGTGGGCATGGGACCCGCCGGGCCAGGCACGGGAGAGAATAACCTTGTCTGCCAGTTGCTAAGACCTTGGGAAAAGCACAGTATTTGGGCAGGAGTGTCCCATTTTTCCAGGTAGTCTGTCACAGCTTCCCTTGGCTAGGAAAGGGAAATCCCCTGACCCCTTGCACTTCCCGAGTGAGGCGACGCCCCACCCTGCTTCAGCTCACCCTCCATGGGCTGCACCCACTCTCCAATCAGTCCCAGTGAGATGAACCATGTACCTCAGTTGGAAATGCAGAAATCACCCATCTTCTGCATCGATCACACTGGGAGCTGCAGACCAGAGCTGTTACTATTTGGCCATCTTGGAACGCCCACCTATACATTATATGATTTTAAATACTCATGAAAAACAAAACAAACAATGCTTGGATGTAAGCAATGATTGCCCCTGCTTTCAGGTGGACAAGAGGTTTAGAGTTCAAGTAGAGTTGAGTCAACATTCAAAAATTAATCCATGTCATTCTCTATAAACAGACTTAAGAATATGACCATGTCCATAGATGCAGAGCAAGCAGTTGATGAAATCCAACCACCATTTGTGTTAAAATCTCTCAGCAAGCTAGGAATTAAAAGTAATTTCCTCAAACTGATAAAGAACATCTTTGAAAAACACTACAGCTAACATCATACTTAATGATCAAAGACTGAATGCTTTTCCCCCAAGAACAAGAACAAAGCAAGACTGTCTGTTCTTACCTCTCCCATTCAACATTGTACTGGACTTACTAGCCAGTGAAATAAGACAAGAAAGTGAAATAAAAGTCACCTGAAGAAAAAGGAAGAAAGAAAATTATTTCTATTTGTAAATGACATAACTGCCTACGTAGAAAACCCCAAATAATCTACACAAAATCTATTAGAACTAATAAGTGAGATTATCAAGGTCACAGAATCCAACATCAATATGCCAAAACCAATTGTATTTCTATATGGAAGCAATGAACAACTGGGTATTAAAATTAAAGTTAAGTAGAGGGTGATAGGTGCACAGTAGTGATTGGGAGAGTGGAGCATCCATTCGGTTGCCAGGTACCATGGGGTCTGCTTCCAGCATCTCTTTATACTCACTGACAGCAAAAGGAAGGAAGAGCTACACCTGATGTCTACACGGGATCACAGGGCACATTGCTGAGCCAGGTGCTGTGGACTTGATGCAACAAGACTGGATTCCAGATCTTGCGATGAGATAATTAACATATTCCCCCTCAAGATTGCCTCAGGACTGAGGCTGCAAAAGGAGGCTCCAAGACCCAAGTGCCAGGAGCTGAGAAAGGGCAGTAGGGACTGACGGTCTTGCTGCAAAGATTTCATTCTTGCCAGATATTACTTATGCAGGCTGCTAAGAAATCATTTAGCAAATCACTTTTCTCCAAGGTTAAATGGAAGTCTACTGGCTTGAAAGACTTCATAGTCAACCAGCAGGCAGGCTGCCTCCCACTCAGGGTTCAGGCTGGAGGGGTCTTGGCAACACTTCACAAGCTCCCTTGAGCAGAGAGCAGAAACAGATGGAGGCAGTGGTGCCTAAGAGAAAATGGCTAGACAGGGCAGAGCCAAATGACAAGAACAGGGGCCATTCATCAAACCCAATGCAGAGCACAGGATGGGTAGCATGCACGGTAACCAGATCACACTTCTGCCTTCTAGGAAATCTGACAGCAAGTCCATGCTGATACAGACCTACAGATAGAATAATAAACAGTGCACAGAGTTATGACTTGCCCACGGAACAATAAAATCAATGTTCACTTTAGGTTGGCAGGTGGGGAGTGAGTAGAAGAAGGGGAACGTCAACTGAGCCACTTGCAGATGACAGTCGCAATGCGCAGCCCCTGACTTACTTAATAAGCTTCAAGGCCCCCAGTGCGCTGGCCCTGGCTTGCGATCCCTCAGATCCATGCACACCCTTCCCCTCTTGGCCTCAAGACAGCAGGCCTGGCTCCTGCAGGCTCTGCTTCTCAGGCCCCCAAGTCATGTGGCTTCCCATACAGGTTCAATCTAAGGGAGACAAGGGCTGGCAGCTGCAGGGTGGGAGGAAGGAAGAAGCAAGATGCTTGTGTCCTCCTCTCCCTTTACCCCGGCATCTTCTCCAAATGGCTTCTTGATGGCTCCACTTCCCATCCCAGAGGCTCATTGTGGATCCATCCTCTTTGGAGTGATTCTAGCTCTCGGACTCCAAAAACATAGCCCCCTCCGTGTCACCAGTTGAGAGGTTGTGGTGGCTTCCTACTGATGCCAATGGCTGGGAACCTCGCCATCCCTGTTTGGGACTTCTTTGCTGCTCTGTCGTTTGCATAACCAATATCCTGCATTAAATTCCCTTGGATGTAAACTTCTTGGTTTTCCTCTAACTGATTCTCTTAGTAAGTGTCCAATAACACAAGGTGGTTTTTCCTTGCTTGCTGCTAATATATCATTTACCCACCACTGGCCTGAAAAGGAGCCAATATATGCTAATTTTCATAGATGAGGAATCCGAGTCTTGGATATATTAAGGAAGTAGCTCAGAGAAAAGCAGGAGACTTCAAAGAGAAGTCTGTCTTGTTTCTTAATCTTAATCTTCAAAGTGTGGAGTATTTCCCGTAAGTTTCAGCACGGATACAATGATAGATCCTGTTGGCCCATTCAGGAAGAATTTCAGAGAGACCATGAGTGACATTTCACAAGAATCTACACCTTCTAAGTCCTAACAGTGAAAACCAGCCCCTAAATAAGATTTCTCCTATCATTTGATGAGTACATTTTGTTACCAGAAATTTGCTACCAGTATATTTGCTTCCATGAGTCCAGAAAAGGATGAAAATTAGTCTTCAAATATTGACATTTAAATGGGAGCTTCCCTGAAACTAGCGACAGGAATGCTCTCTGCAATTCAATAATTCTGTTCATAAAAGCCACCCTGTTATGGTAAAAAAAAAATTGTTATCTGTTTTCAGAGGTCAATTAAAAAATTAAAATCTCACCTAAGTCCTCTTACTTAGAGTCTCTACATTGATTTTATGTCAAAAAATAATAGTTGTATATATTTATGGGGTACAAAGTGATGTTATGATGTATGTATACAATGCAGAGTGATTGAATCAAGCTGATTAGCATATACATCACCTCAAATACATATCATTTACTCACTCTGTCTAACTGAAACTTCCCTACATCTTTTCTAACAAGATTAGAACGTGAAGGGATGCAGAATTCAGAATCTGGAACTTTCAGGGTCGTACGCGTTGATCACTGGAGGCCCCAGAGGCTGAAGAATGTGAGCAAAGTCAACATGGAAATGATTATTTAAAACAAAAAACAAACCTGTAACCAAACCAAACAAAATTTGTTTTATTTGGATGCTTTTAATGCTGCAGATGTCCTCTCAAGGTTGATAAGAGCTTCAGCAGCCATTTAGACCAACCCTCACCTTCTCGCTGAACAGTCATACCTGCTGTACTTGCTGATCCAGGCAAAGCCCTAGGTCCTTCTTTTTGTTTCTAATAACTTTATTCAGGTACATGTGATATACAATACATTGCACATATTTAAAGTGTGTAATTTGGTAAGTTTTGACGAATGCATGCATCCATGAAGCTATCATCACAATCAAGAGAGTGAACGTATCCACCAGATTTTTTTTTTAAGTGGGGTGTGGGTGTGGGTGTGGGTCAGTGAGGGAATGGATATGTTTACCCAGGGATTTTTGTTTTGTTTTGTATCATTTTTAAGAGTGTATAGTTCAGTGTTCTGTAGTATAGTCACCAAGTTGTGCAACCATTACAACTAATTCCAGAACATTTCTTCAACGCAAATCGTGTACTCATTAGGAGGCCCACATTCACTCCCCATTCCTTTCTCTATCCCTCACCTCCAGCCCCTGACAACCACTAATCTACCTTTTCTCTCTATAGGTTTGCTTATTTTGGACAATTCATATAAATGGAATCATGCGATACATAGATTTTTGTGTCTGGCTTCATTCACTTAGTATAATAAATTCAAGGTCCATCTATGTTGTAGCAGGTATCAATACTTCATTCCTTTTTATTGTTAAATATTACTCTGTTGGGTACTAAATTCACTGACTATCTTATCATATAGCCCTCAAAAGAACACTGTGTTCACAAAGTCATAATGAGAACCTTTGTCTTCTAGAAACCCAAATACACTATGCCTACGTCCCCATCCACCCCGATCTATGAGCTTAGTAATATTGTCCAAAAAGGGTCTGAGGCCAGTCCAGCCTCCCTTGTTCTTGGGTGAATGGGCTTTGGCCACCTGTGATGTCCTCTTCCCTTCTAAGCGTTCACAGATGGCTCATCTGGTTATCAGTATCAGTGCTTTCCCAGGATGCACATGGAGCCCACTGGGTCATCATCTGTGGCGTCTGCATTGTTCCCATGATTCAATGTGAACTTCATGTGTGTCTACCTCCAGTCTTCTGGTTCCTCTCCCACCTTCGTTTCTGAAAGGTCATCTCACTTGGCTGGAAGGTGCTTCATCCCGTGCAGGGAACTGTCAGCCATGCAGAGCAGCTGGTGGCTCTTCTCCCGTCTCAGTACCTGTCTTGGCCCTCCATTCCCTCAAGCAGTGCTCATTCCACCCAACCCTCAGCTTGTTTGTGTCGTTTACCAATGTCACACCATCCACCTTTCCTATTCCTGTTCTTGTTTTAAATGTCACAAAGATGCCTCCTGCCTGACTAGGCCTCCTGACCCTGACCTGACAGATCGTGGCTCTCTCATAGTCATCCCTAGAGTATGTCCTTCTTCCGTTTTCTTTGTTCGTTTTCTTTAATAATGTTTTCTGTTTCAGAATAATTTTAGATTTACAGAAAAGTTGAAATGATACTGCATTGAGTTTCCCTATACCCCTCACCCAGTTTCTCCCAATGTTAACATCTTATGTAACCATGGCACGTGTATTAAAACTAAGACATTAACACTGGTACATTACTTCTAACTAAACTACAGACTTCGTTGAGATTTAACCAATTTTCCCACCAGTGTCCTTTTTCCATTCCAGCATCCAATCTAGATGCCCACATTGTGTTTAGTCTGTGTTCATTCTTAATCTCAGTTATCAAAGTCTCTAACATTTTTTTTACCTTCCTCGTCAGGATTATTTGATTTAGACTAAAAGGGTCACTCTTTTTCTCTTAACTCACTTTGTTTAATTTGCAAGGCAATAGAGTTTTCTTGAAATGTCTTCCCTTCAAGGAGCTTATGCCATTAGCTGAGACCTAGAAATTAATCTTTTAGTGCCGAGGATACCTACCACTTTGGGGACCCCTGGGTTCCTTGACTAGCTCACAATTTGTGACAAAATGGTCAGCTCATCCCAAGTTTCTTTTCGGCTCTATATTTTATCAACTGCTCTCTCCTGTTAGATAAAACCAGGTTTGAAGTAGGCATCTCCCCCAAGGGTTCCTCCTAATCTTCTAATAAATCGTGCCTAAGATTATTTGCACTAAGTAGACACTCTGACAGGTGCTGGGCGCCTGATGTGTAGCCCACGAGGTGACTGAGTGAGGGTTTCCCTCAGAAGCCCGCGGGAAGAGGGAATTCTAAGGGCACCTGGGAAGTGGGGGCAGCTCTGTCAGTCACAGCAGGTGAATCTCTAGGCTGCAGGCTGATTGTTACTGAGTGAAAAATCCTTAGCTTCACTAAGTTAATAAACCTTAAACTAGGTTAAAGGGTAAACAAAGTAATGATGAGCACAGCTGGGAGTCTGATCCTGTCAGGGACTTATGGGGCCTCCCACTGGACAAGAGACATGTTCCTGATTGGATGGGACAGTCTGCCTGCACTGTGATTTTAACACAAAAGTAGTTTCACGAAGTCAGTGCAAAATAGAAACTGATATAGTCGTGAGATGATAACTTCAATGTTGTTTAGAGATCTCCTGGTCATTTCAGAGGGCATTTCTTTCCAGTTACTTAACGTTATTGATGTACAAATGGTTGAACAGTTGTTTAAGTGTCCTTGTCTATGTAACACCATCTCTATACATTGGGATAACTGAAATTCTGAATTGGCCAGAATTCATCCCAAAAAAACAGTCTTGAATTGAACTGAATTGAGTTGAATTTCTAGCACCTGTCACAAAGGCTAAGCTTCTTGGCTGTGATTTTTAAAGGCTTCTTTGAGTTGCCACCGAACTCTAATAATCATCTTTTTTAAAAGTGAGACTGAATGTCACTTGGTGGCTGGAAGTGGCCACAGTCACAAATCAGAGAACAAAGTTCATCAAGTAGATAAGACACAGATATTGAATACTTACACCAATAAAGTTCTCTATATTTTTTTAATCCTGTTGAGTCAGTCCACCATCATCAAAAGTTGCTGAAGGACCCACATTTGTTGGAAAATAAGAGACTGGTATAAAGATGTCAGAAAAATATCTGGGTCTTAGCCCAGGACTTAGGTCCATGTAAAGCTATGTGGATTTGCACCTTCTTTTGAAAGACAGAAACCAGCATATGATCCAATTCAACAAGGTCTGAGTGTTATGAGTGTTATGCCAGAAAGACAGTGGAAGGAAGAGCTGGTCCTAGGAAACCATCCCATCAAAGAAAGGGGTATTTCCTGCACCTGCCTAACTCTGCTAGGAATTAGATATGAGCTTCAGGCCTGACTGATATCTTCTGTGAATGGGGGTCACCCTCTCTTTTACCAGTGCCTCTGGAAAATTACCACCTATTAAAAGGAAGAATACTGTTCCTAGAGGCAGACATCTCAAGAAGCTTGTAGCTTCAAGGAGCCTTCAATTATTCGAGATGTCAGCCTCTGAGAACTTCGCTCTCATAATTTGGGCACTAATCTTAGAAAGTAAGTTGGGCCAGTCATAAGTAAAAATAAAAATAATGAGGAGCCCAGGCATGGTGACTCACACCTGTAATCCCAGCACTTTGGGAGGCTGAGGCAGGGTATCACTTGAGGTCAGGAGTTTGAGACCAGCCTGACCAACATGGAGAAACCCCATCTCTACTAAAAATACAAAGTTAGCCGGGTGTGGTGGCGCATGCCTGTAATCCCAGCTACTCGGGAGGCTGAGGCAGGAGAATCACTTGAGCCCAGGCGGTTGGAGGTTGCAGTGAGCCAAGATTGTGCCATTGCACTCCAGCCTGGGCAACAAGAGCAAAACTGCATCCAAAATAATAATGAGGAAAAATGAGAGGTATATTGGTTTTTTTAGCTACCATGTTGAAAATGCATGTATTTATTTTTAAAAGCATAAAATGATTAATAAATGTTATAAATTATATATTTAATATAAACATGTTTAATATTTTAAATATAAAATGTTTTATATAAAATATATGTTTAAATATAAAATATGTTTATACTATTAAATATAATATGTATTAATATTGGGATAGGAAATTGTTGCTGGAATGGCTAAGCAGTATTTTGATATTCCCATAAAGAAAGAGACTTTATGGCTAAGAGACTTTGGCTAGGACTTAGAGTTCTCATGTGGAATGTGGTTCAAGGAGTTGTAACAACCATAACAAGGACAACAAATTCATTTTATTGGAAAAATTACGTGGAAAGCTGCATGTAGGCCAGTGAATGTGATAAATGCATATAGCAAATTTGATAGGTGGAAGTCCAAAATCTACTATGGAGAAATACGAAGGTTCACATGTTCACATTGGTTCTCTATTATAATCCATTGCTACTCATCAAATCTAATATTTAACATGTGTTAAGCACTCGTTAGGTACCAGGTGCTGGGCTAACCTTAGGCCAGCATCTAAGCTGTAGGTGGACTAAACTTTACATGCACGATCCTATTTCACTCTCATAACAATCCTCTGAGCTCAAGCTTATTAATCCCCATTTTGCAGGTCAGGAAGCTAAAGCTTCCTTAGGAGTGTTAACACTTAAGGTCATTTGGAGCCAGGACTTTAACTTGGGTTGCTCTGACCCCAAAGTGAGAAAGCCAAACCTCATACAAAAGACATGAATATCCAAGTAAAAGAAAGGAGACAGGAAGGGTAAAGAAGGGGGAACTGAGCTGGGTGTGTCTGAAAGGCAAAGATGTTGGTGAGGGAGTCTAACTTCCTGAGTCCTCTGAAGAGGTGCCCACCGAACTCAAAAAGTCTGCTTAAAAGAAGAATGCAGAGAGAAAGGAAACCATTTCAATCAAGCGGAGGAGACACTACCTGCTTTACACTTTCATTGTTCTTGGGGAAAGTGGCAGCCTTTGTATGTCCTTTTCTATGCTTAGCAGGAAGGGGCATAGGGACCCTAGGAAGTCGAAGAGCTCCATGGGGTCAAGAGGTACATGGGCAGTGCCTAAGGCGCAGGCAGTGGAGAGACAGCTGGGGTACTAAGGCCCATCTGCTAAAACGGCTTTGCAGTGGAGCCTCTGTGTTTAAGCAGCTGAGTAGCTCCATTTTATCTGTGACACGGCACAAACTCAGATTGGGCAAGCACATCTCCATTTCATCAGAATCTAAGCAATTGAAAGCCATAGTAGAGCTAATTCCTTCTCTGTTTAAAAAATATTTTTTTGTTGATACTGCTGAAGACCTTTTGTAAGCAGCAGGAAGCCAATGGCTGGATGACAGTAGAGTGGAGAGAACTCAGGATTCGGAGACAGGAGATGCTTCTAGACCCACCTGCTCCTTGGTTTTCTTAGTGGACATAATCATTGTCCCCAAATGTTTCCTCATGCCCCTTATAATCTCACCCTCTCCCCACCTCCCACCTCAGGCAACCACTGATCTGCTGTCACTATAGATTAGTTTGACTTTTCTAGAATTATATGTAGATGAACTCATACAGTATGTAATCTTTTTTGTCTGGCTTCTTTCACTAAGCACAATTATTTTAAGATTCATCCATGTTGTTGCTGTGTATGAATAATTCATTCCCTTTTATTAACTCTTAAGAAATAGAGACAAATAGGCAATTAGACAATGCAAAGAATTCATTCAGGAAAGCTCCTTCCGGAGCCTGGTCTAGGCTCAGTGGGGACTCTGCCACAGAGCCTATGCCTGGATCCTACCGTGCAGTCAAGTCAACAACTCGGGACATAGTCACCAGGCATGCGCTATGTACCAAGCATGGGTTTGGCAATAGGGGTGCCAGTGAACAAGTCCCCACTCCACTCGCAAGGAGCCATTAGTCTGCTGGTGGGGGAGACTAAGCGTTCATGGTGATAAGCCTCAGACTGTGAGATCTAGAAGTATCTCCTGAACAAAAGAAAGATCAAATTACTTTAAATTTACCTTTGGTAATAAGTATGTTTTGTGATATCTTTATGTTGTTGTAATTTAAAATGGTGTGCTGGTTATCCATTGCTGCAAAACAAAGTACCCCAGAACTTGCAGCTTAAACAAGCATTTGTTATCTCAGTTTCTGTGAGTCAAGAATCCAGGAGGAGTTTATTGGGTAGTTCTGGCTCCAGGCCTCTGATGAGGTTGAAGTCAAGATGTCGGCCAGGGCTGCAGTCACATCTGAAGGCTCAACTGTTGGGCGACCTGCTGCCAGGCAGCATCGTTGTTGGTAGGCCTCAGGTCTTTACTGGTTATTAGCCAGAGACTTTAATTCTTTGTCCCATGAGACTTTCCATTGACTGCCTCAGTGTCCTCATGCAATAGCATCTGGCTTCCCCAAAGTGTGTGATATGAGAGAGATGGAAGCCACAGTCTTTGTAACCTAATATCAGAAGTGGCATTCCATTCCTCATGCTGTATTGCATTGATCACAAAGACCAACCCCAGTAAAATGAGGAAGGGAATTGCATAAGGGATAGATGGCTTACCAGGATGGGAAGCCAGGATGTATTAGCCTTCTCCTCTTGGGAGCTAGCTAACACAACACATAACAATGAACCGATGGATTTCCTTAGCCATAGTACCTGATTCCAGGGTGTATTCTGTATGAATGGAAATTTAATTTGATTAAACCTGTGAAGGACATTCAAATATCATGGTGGCTTTTAATATGACAAATTGCCAGTAAGACATAGAGTGAATAAAGTTGCTATACATTGCCCTGATCCCCATTTATTTACATGTCACAGATTTGTTTCACTAAGGCAGACCCGTGGTTACCATGGCAACAGCTCAGAGGTAAGTTTCACTGAAGCACAAATGCCATGTGAGAAGCAAAATTAAGGAGACTTAGAACAAAGAGCAGAAAAAGTGTCTATTTTTGCAAGTAGACCTGGTCAATTTAAAATTGTGCAAGAAAAGCCAAAGAGAGCCTCAAAAAGAGGTTATGCACAGCTTCATTTAAAAGAAACACTTTTAAAATGAAGGACTTGATGGAAAGTACTTCAGAACATGCAGAGAACATGCATTATGCAGAAATTTAAATACAAACCTGGGATGGGATGGGGAACAGAGAGGAAGTGGGAGGTGGTGGGCAGAGTTAGGGGTGAGGAGACATGAGAAGAAACTGGGTCCAGAGCAGGTGTCCTGAGTCAATTTGGTCCAGTGGTTTGTTCCTGGTGTGGCCCATGGCTCCAGCTAAAAAACTGCTCAGTTGGCCTCTCAGCATCTCAGACACCTGCCCTCTTCCCAAAGCTGCTTTGAGCAATGTTAGTCTGGTATTTTGAGGCTCCCAAATAAGGACATTGTGCCTGTGAAAAACCTCAGGGATCTCCAAGCAGACCTCCAAGTGCTCTTTCTTTTCTTCTTAATGCTATATAAGGAGGAAGGAAAAAAATCAACACAGTCCATGTAAAACACATCTTTGGGGAAACAAAGAAAAACGTGCCTTAGAAGTTCTAGGTAGGAACTTCTAAATGCCAACTCAAGGCCTTCCTGGAGCAAGTGACTCCCCCACCCCGAGAATGATGTTCTGGTAGCAAGTGAAAAAAGAGGGCAACTAACAGTGTCTGGCATGTTCATTAAAATCTCCAGCTATCGTTGTGAGTTTGTCAATTCATTCCCCTGTGTAATTGGGTCCATTTTTGTTTTGATACTTCAGGCTGTGTTTCAAAGGTATATGGATTCACTACTTTCACATCTTCATGTTGGAGTGTGGCTGTGACCATTAATTAATAACTTCCTTTATCCTATTAGTGCTCTCCTTCTATTCTGTTTTTTGATATGAACTTTGCTATGTCACTTTTCTTTGAATTAGTGATGGTCTTTCTGGATTATTAAATTTTTGGTGTTTCTTGCAACATCAATGGGCTCAATTTTCTTTTTCATCCAATTTCAGAGTCTTTATTTAGAAATAGATGAGTTTATTTACATTTATTGGATGGCTAATACTTTTGGATTCATTCTACCACCTACTTTTTTGTTTTCTATTTACCATGACTTTTTCCTCTTATCCTTTTGTTCTTTTTTCCTGCCTTCTATTGTATCAAGTCTTCTTTTCTTCTATAATTTTTGAGGTTAAATATTTAGTCTCCATTTTTTGTAGTTATGACATTTTTGACATGTATTCATAAATTTATATTTTAAATAAAGCAACAAGCTAATAAATATGTTTGTCTTAATTCTCAAAAAGGCAAGGACATCTAAGCCCCTTCCATCCTTCCCCTTCCATGTGTTATTAAGTATTAACATTTCATCATGTTTTAAACTTTCCCTCCAGAGTGAGTTATGATTAAAAGTTTAAGAGCCAATTTTATGTGAATCTACCAGCAGACTGTTTTGTGGATTCACATCTCTTCTCGATAAAGTACATCCTTTAGTAGTTCTTTGAGCAAGGATTCAGTGAGTAGTCAAATCTTAGATTTTATTCATTTGAAATGTATTAATTTACCCTCCCTCTTGAATGATGGACTTGCTAGTTACAAAAGTTTAAGTTTTCAATTATCTTTCTTATCCCTTTGAAGATATCATTGTGTTGCTTTCTGACATTTGTAATTGCTAATGAGGAATCTGATTGTGACTTTCTTCAAAAATTTTTTTCACTAGTTTTTTTCTTAAGTTTTAAAACTTCTTTTCCTTGGCTTTCCATAACTTCATCTGTGTTATTCTGCTTGTTAGTTTGTTTCCCTTGGAATTTGGCACAGCTTTTGACATTAGGAGTCCTGTCCTGAGTTCTAGAATCTCAGCTATTTTCTACTTGACCCCCGCTCCTCCTATTTATCTCTGTTTTCACCTTCTAGAATTCCCATAGATTAATACTGGGGCTTCTAATTTCTATCCTCCACATCTTTTATTTTTATTTCTGTATTTTATATCTCTTATCACAAATGTGTTCTGTTTTAGATGATTTCTTCAGCTATACCTTCCAGTTAATCAATTCTCTCTTCAGTTTCATGTAAGCTATTGTTCAACCTGTCTGTGAAAGATTATTGTTTCAGTGGCCACAAGTTATCTTTCTAGAATTTCTATTTGGCTAATTTTTAAGTCCATTGTTCTTTTCCTTTTTATGTTCTATTATATTCTATTCCTTCCTTTGTTTAAAAGTTATTTTCTGATTGCTCTGTTATCCATGGTTCTTTTGTATATTTTTCTCATATTTATTGTGCAGTTAGTTAACATTGTTGTACCAGTGTTTGATATGAATTCCTTATCTGCCTCGTAATTTTTGTCTGTGAGCTCATCTTCAATAGGAATACCTTTTGCAAAGGTCTCACAGGTACCCTGAGTTGCTAAGGGCTTCCTATGGGAGTGTTTCCCCATTGCCTCTGAAACTGTTCCAGAACTGGAATAGTTTTCTGTTAGAGATCTTGACCCTGTATAGATAGTGTTAAGAATTCTAGCCACATATCAACACTCAGCAGAAGTTATGGCTTCCAGTTTCTAACAATTGATTTAATTTTCGCCAACAGCCCAGGGCCAGAGACCTGCTTCCTGATTGTATCATAGGTCATATTCAAGAGTTTTCCTAGTCTCAATTCATATACAAAATTACAATTTTTTTTTTTGTGGCTCCAGGTTTCTTGGAATAGCCTAGTATCAGGAGTTCCTAAAACTTTGTCCCTAATCCGTAACATCACAACCCCACCTCCTATAATGTATTTCCAGTTTAGTTACTTATGTGCCATACAATTTTGCCTCTCACTCAGTGAAGTAGATTTTCTATTTTTTTCTGGTACCTGGCAGCTTTTTTAGTTGCCCCTAAACATGTTTTAAGAATAAATCTATGGGGCCGGGCGCAGTGGCTCATGCCTATAATCCCAGCACTTTGGGAGGCCGAGGCGGGCGGATCACAAGGTCAGGAGATCAAGACCATCCTGGCTAACATGGTGAAACCCCGTCTCTACTAAAAGAAATACAAAAAAATTAGCCGGGCGTGGTGGCGGGCGCCTGTAGTCCCAGCTACTGGGGAGGCTGAGGCAGGAGAATGGCGTGAACCCAGGAGGCGGAGCTTGCAGTGAGCCGAGATCGCACCACTGCACTCCAGCCTGGGCGACAGAGCGAGACTCCGTCTCAAAAAAAAAAAAAAAAAAAAAAAAAAAAAAAAAAAAAAAAAAAAAAGGATAAATCTATGGAGTCATGAGAGACGCTTCCTGCAGCAGTTTATTCTGTCATCTTGAGTTTGAATCCCAAGAACAATGTTTTTACTTAGAGCTCATGTTTATCTGGGTTGCTTTTCAGAGGATATAAGGGGAACTTAAAAACCTCCTCGAATTACTTTTTAGGGCTGTGCTATTGGTAGCTTAGTGAGACAGAACAGATCAGAGAAGGAAACAATATATCAGGCTATTTTTCCTGTTCTCTTTATTGTTCTTATAAAAAGTGATTTTAGGGGCAAATATCCACTGAAGATATTGTGAAGAAACCACTCAGAAATTCTGTATTTTATGCTTCTTAAAATGTATCTTAAAGTTTACGTGCTTAATGAGCTTGAATTTTATACTTTCATAACTCCAAGCTTTGAAAAGAAGAACATAGAAATGATTTGATGTTTACAAAGGAAATGACTGGGTGTATATTTTACTAATACAACACAAAGCTAAACTTCTGAACAGAAGAAGAGACAACATGGATCAGTTAAAAAAAAAAAAAAAAAGAAAATTATTGTTATGAGACAAAGTCTCGCTCAGTCGCCCAGGATGGAGTGCAGTGGTGGGATCTCGGCTCACTGCAAGCTCTGCCTCCCGGGTTCACGCCATTCTCCTGCCTCAGCCTCCCGAGTAGCTGGGATTACAGGCATGTGCCACCACGCCCAGCTAATTTTTTATATTTTTAGTAGAGACGGGGTTTCACCATGTTGGCCAGGATGGTCTTGATCTCCTGACCTTGTGATCCTCCCGCCTCGGCCTCTCAAAGTGCTGGGATTACAGGCATGAGCCACCGTGCCCAGCCCACAATAATAACTTTTAAAAGATTACAAGAAAAGAAAGGGAAAAGGCTAGAATAAACCCTATGGTGTTGGATTTATGAAGGTATCAGTATAAACTCGCGTTTTTTAAATATAAATATAAATAGAGGGATAAATATCAATGTGAATATGCATGGATTAGTATACATGCATTTACTTCTAGCTGTGTTTGCTTAAATGGCCTGAAAGCATTGACACCTCTGTGGCAATGAATACATCTAGTGTCTAGATCTTGGTTTCAAAATACCACTCTTCAATAAAAAGAACCAAGAATCCACGGAGAAGTGGCTGATTCCAGAGCTGGGGCAGGGAATATACAATAAAAAGTGCCTGGAGTGTCTTGAAATGCCAAAAAATAAGGAAATGCTCAAAAAAGGATGAGATTTCTCAAAAGCACACTGGAACTCCTTCAAGGAGCAACCAATGACCAAAGAGGAAACAATTTGAGCAACAAAATTATAACCCACAGGATAAAGTCGATATCCAGAAACCTATACTGATAAATACATAATTAAAGGAATAAATATTAGAGAGACAGCTCTTCCTTACAGAATTCCAATTAGTCAAGGAATAATGAAACAGAAAAACACTTTTTTTCTTAATTGGTATGTTCATTAAAAACAGACTAGGCCAGGCGTGGTGGCTCACGCATGTAATCCCAGCACTCTGGGAGGCCGAGGTGGGCAGATCACAAGGTCAAGAGATTGAGACCATCCTGGCCAACATGATGAAACCCTGTCTCTACTAAAAATACAAAAATTAGCCAGGTGTGGTGGCATACACCTGTACTGAGGCAGGAGAATCAGTTGAACCCAGGAGGCGGAAGTTCCAGTGAGCCAAGATCCGAGATCACGCCACTGCACTCCAGCCTGGGCAACAGAGTGAGACTCTGTTTAAAAAAAAAAAAAAAAAAAAACAGACTAATAATCCTGTGTTTAAATAGCATTGTGGTTGTGTGCTGACTTCCATAAAACACGACTGGTTGTAAGGGACTCCACAAATACACTTCGTACAGAAGTAAAAAGGTAAACAGAAATGTCTGACAAAACAGTGCCATTTCACAGTTCTGCCAGCCGTGGTAGGGCTGCTATGGGGCATCCAGGACTGTGGGGGTCTGGAGGAGGGGACATGAGGTGAGAGGTATCCTGGCCGAGGGCAGGCGGCAGTGGGGGCTCTCCCTCCAGACCTACCTCAGGGAGCTGAGCGTGCAGGCGCTCTAGGGCAGGCCTCGGACAGTCAAGGCCCAGAGAATAAAGGTAGCTAATCTCATAATATTTTTATCAGAATGTTCTGGTGATAAAAATAAAACTTGTTTTCTTTTAAAAAAAAGTGCCATTTCAGACATAGTTCCCTTAATTATTATTAATACATGCTAGAAAATGGAGTTTGACATTATTTACAATTATACCAACATTGACAGAGGCCAAATGTCACAAGCACAACAGCACACCCTGACCACAAGATGTCTTTTCATACTTCTCAATAGTTTCATATTTTAGCTATAATTAGTTTTATATTTTGGCTGAGAACAAGTTTAGCTGAGCCAAACTTGTTCTTAAGAAGCAGAATTTTTATACCCAACCATTAAAGAGTCTCTTACAGTTTTCTGGGCCTATTTGCTTGCAGAGAGTTGTAGAAACTGTAACCAGGTTCTGCATATTATACATTCACATATGATACTCAATATTCATATGCTGTGTAATTTCTTTAAGATAAAAGGAATGATTTGCAGCAGGGCCATGTAGATGAGGAAGTTCCATATGGAGGAGATCACATCCTCACACAACTTCCATTTCATCTCCTCCATATCCAGCTTCTGCGCAAAGCCCTGGATCTGAAACATTGTGGCTCTGACTCACCAGCCTTCAGCTGCCGCTGAAAATCACTCTTAGAACACCACAGTAATTGTTGCAGACATGATCTGCTGATGGATGTCAACAAGATTGAGCCAAAGTTTCAGGGTAAATAGGATATTTTCATAGTCTCAAAGTATCTCTCCCCACCCCCAATTATTATTAATTACAAAGGGAAAGATAGAAACTTTAGAATGGAGGAGTCCAGCAGACCTGACCTTAGCCACGTTGGCAAAGTTAATACCAGTAATGAGACATATTGAAGTCACGCACCCTTGGATATGATGGACTGAGCAGAGTGCATTGCTTCTGTAATGTTCTTTTCAGAAATGCATAACCTCCATCTAATGAGGAGAAACCATAAGATGAACTCAAATCGAGAGGAAAAAACCTACAATTCTGCAAAATCGCCAAGGTTATAAGAGACGAGGAAAGACTGAAGAGCCATCTAAGGCTGGAGGAGACCAAGGAGGCAAGACCAAGTGCAAGGTGAAATCTTGGATTGGATCCTGGACCAGAAAAAAAAGGCATTAGCTGGAAAACTGGGAGAATATGAATAATGACTATAGTTTAGTATTGTGTTGTATTAATGTTAATTTCATAGTTTTGGTCCCTGAACTCTGGGTACAGAGACATTAATGTTAGGGCAGTCTGGGTGAATGGTGTACAGGAATTCTAAGAAATATTTTTAAAACTTTTCTGTAAGTCTAAAATTATTTCAAACTAAAAAGGTTGTTTTATGTTGGGAACATTCTAAATCTTGACTCCTAGCTATTTTGAAATATAGAGTTGGCCCTTGAACAAGTGTTGAATTGTGAAGGTCCACTTGTAAGTAGATGTTATTCCACTTCAGCCACCCCTGAGACAGCAAGACCAACCCCTCCTTGTCCTCCTCCTCCTTATTGTACTCAGTGTGAAGATGACAAGGTCAAGACCTTTCTGATAATCCATTTCCTCTTAATAAATATTCAATATATTTTTTCTTCCGTATGATTTTCTTTGTTTTAGAGGCAGGGTCTTACTCTGTTGCCCAGACTTGAGGGCAGTGGTGTGATCATAGCTCACTGCAGCCTCAAACTTCTGGCCTCAAGTGATCCTCTCACCTCAGCCTCTCAAGTAGCTAGAACTACAGGTGCATGCCACCACATCCAGCTAATTTAGTCCATTTTTTTGTAGAACTGGGGTCTTGCTGTGTTGCCCAGGCTGGCCTCAAACTCTTGGGCTCAAGTGATCCTCCCATCTCAGCTTCCTAAGGTGTTGGGATTAAAGGCATGAGTCACTGTGTCCCACCCTTATTTTCTTAATAACATTTTCTTTTTTCTAGCTCACTCTATTGTAAGAATACAGTATATAATACATAGAAGAAATGTGTTAACTGACTATTTACATTATTAATAAAACTTCTGGTGAACAGTAGGCTATTACTAGGTAAGTTTCAGGGAAGTCAAAAGTTATACACAGATTTTCAACTGCACGAGGGGGTTGGCCCTCCCCCTACTCCCATGTTGTCCAAAGGTCAACTGTACTATAAATTCTTGTTACCTATAGTCACCCTACTGTGCTCTCAAACCCTAGAACCTATTCCTTCTAACTGTATTTTGCACCCAATGTTCCCAACACAAACATGATAAATGTTTGAGGTGATGAATATGCCAATTACCCATTACACATTGTATGCATGTATCAAAAAAAAACCTCATCTACCCCATGAATACATGCTACTATTATGCATCAATTTCAAAAACATTTTTTTAAGGGAGGCAGAGTTTGTGGTTGTGAGGAAACTTCTGGTAGTGCCAAAGCTAACCATGAGGGTTTAGGCTGCTGGTGGGAGGATGCAGTGGCTGTGGGCTTCTCCTGCAGCTAGCTGCGCAGGCAGAGGGACGGCTCCTTCCTCCAGCTGGGGAACAATGGTGAGGAGTTATAAAGAGAAGAGCACTCATTAATACAGGATGAGTTAAAGAGCTGTGGGATTGAAAAGACTCATTTGAGGCATTAAAACTGAACATGAAAATGTGATGCATGATGAAGCTTCTGCAAATCCCAGTCTCCAAAAGGCCAGGTGGGGAGTGGGAGAGCAGAGAACCAGGGGAGAAACAAAAGGGGAGGAGCACATTTAGGAACATTGAAGGCTAAGTAATTAGAAAGAGCTCTTCAAGCCTGGGGAAAGGAAAAGGGGCCAAAGGATACTTTGAGAAAATATGATTCAGCTCATCAGTCATTACTAAATTATAGATGATCAGGTAGAGATTGTAAGGTAACTTTCTATTTTAGTGTT